>NT_187365.1:0-40176 GCF_000001405.40 Homo sapiens | reverse complement strand
GATCCTACCATACCAATCACAAGAATGATATCTGTAGAATCAAAAGTTGAAATCCTATTATCCTAGAACTTTTTTCAGAAAACTTGAACATGCATTGAAATGTCATGCTGGTCATATATTTTATAGCAATGAGGAATTTACTTATTATATACTTTAGCTTTTTAGCCCTTTCCCTGCCCACCAGAAATGTTTCTTTTGAATTCAATTTGGTCCTCAGAGTTTTAGAATGTTAAGGAATGTATAGGGGTTTCTTTTTTCTTCTTTTTTTTTTTGTCAAGCTATTGTATATTTTTACTTTACCTGTTTGGGTATGTAGTTACTATTTGTTTGGACTGTCATACAAGAAAAAAATTATAGTGAATTTTACTTGTACGGAGTCTTCATTAATCTGTATAAACTGACAAGTTTAGAATATCAAAGTCAACACTGTAAAAAATAAAGTGATATTTTATCTGGTCTATCTCCTTGCAAATAAAAGAACAATAAATTCTGTACTATTATGAAATATAAGAGCTTGAAAATTATTCAAGTGCCTTGTATAGAATGGCCTTCGAGTTCACGGTATAAACTACAACAAAACACTTTCGAGATCTAGTTTGATTGAAGAGTGCATTATTACTTATTGATATATTCTCTGCAATTTCTGATTCAAGATAGTCCACAATTCTAAAGGGAAACCAAAATAGAATAATAATTACAAAACAAAATAAAAAGTAATTGAGGAAGATAATTGAGCAACTTATTCTTGACAGCTAGCTTTTTAACAAACAGAAAAGTGCGCTAAAAATACTGCCTAGTTGTTTAAAGTAGGCTGAGATCCGACTGTATCCCCTAAGTGAGTGTCATAAAGAAAAAATTACCTTTGAGGGAGCACAGTGGTTAAATTTAAAAGATTTATTGTTTAACCTCAGGAAGACTTTCAGTAACTTTTTATAAATTGTATACAGTTAATGGAAGACATGCTATGCTTCTTGTAAGAATTTGTTCCAGATCACTGTGTATAATTAATGGTTTGTCTACATATTTTTTCAATAAAACTGTTCATGAAGAATTTTAAGTATGCACTTTCAGTACCAGAATGAATATATCTTTGTGAAGATACCATTTATGTACCATAACGTCCAAAGCACAATGAGGAGATTTTGATACACTGCAGATTTAGAACTAAGTTGGAAAACAAAACTTCAACATACTGTCTTGTCAGCACAAAGCAAATAAATTCATCACTGTAAGTTGACATTTAAATTCACAAACTTATAAGCAATAAAATCAAAGTAATTTTATTATAAGTTTTTTGACAACAGATTATGTGGGGTAAATAATTTACTTTCTAATCAAGCAATTGATATATATAAACCTGAAATAGAGAGTTTTGCCTTTTAATTAGATACGTTGTTACACAAAGAATGGTTGAAGCTGCAGTTGAGAATTATCTTTTTCTCTTTTTGCTGTTCTTACAAGGACTGTTTCTAGAATTGTTTACAAAACAATAGAACAGAAAATTTCACTTACTCACTTAATTTAACTTTTGTTAAAGTACTTTGCCAAAATTAGCAAATTATGAAAGGAAAGTTTGCCTTTTCAATATATATGTAAGTGGCAAGTAAAAGTTGTTCTTAAATCACGTGATCTCATAGAAATAACATGGGATAAAAAGAGTTCTGAAGGTGCTCAGGAAATGCCAGTCCTAAATGGATTGCTTTGGTGTACTGATTACATCGAACTGAAAATATGTGAAAAATAACAACTGTGGGACATGCTTTCTCTGCACTCCCTTTACGTTCCTCAAGTGAGATCCTCCAAAAGGAACTTTCAATACCAGAATGAATGTATCTTTGTAAAGATACCATTTATCTACCATGACATCCAAAGCATGATGAGGAGATTTTTATACACTGCAGATTTAGAACTGAATTGGAAAACAAAGCTTAAAGATACTGTCTTGTCAGCACAAAGACATTCATCTCCTTCCTAGGAGTTTCATCAGCCAGGGAAAATTAACTCCTCATACCACAGGAGACAAGACTAAGAGTCCATTCCACACCAAGACAGACTGCCATAAACTATCATCTATTCTCCTAGGGGTCTGGTCATCTTTCCCAAAAATCATTTGCTCTCCCCTAAGTTTCCTACATTCTTCCTCCTGCCTTCCTTATAAGCTCCTAAATCTCACTGGGGTTTTTTCTTGGTGGTGTTTTGTTTGTTTTGTTTTGTTTTGTTTTTGATTCCACTTTTCTTTCCTGTGATTCCCCCATGTGTGTAATAAATGTGTACACATTTTCTTCTTTTGACATGCCATTAATTCAATAGACTCAGTTATCACACCTTCAGAGGGTAGAGGGAAAGTTCTCCAAGTCCAACAGTTCCAAAAGAAAATAGCTAGTAACTGCAAATGCAAAAGTCATATAAACTTTGAGACAAAGTTAGCTTCTTATACTGTACGTTCAGAAAGAAGAGATGTGTTGCATACCAAGGGACATTTCCTTGGTCTTAGCTCCTAAGTTTCTCTGAGAAGAAGTAGTTACTACTACAGCAGTTAAACACCTGACTCCCATATTATAAAAGCCTAAGTGTTGAGATTAAATCATTAGTTGTCACCTGTGAATCATAAAGTCTGAACTCTTTAAATTGCAAACACACATAGAAAAGCGATTCTTACACAGGGATCCATGAGTGGAACTGCAAAGTTTTGTCAAAATCTATATATATGTTTTCTTTTTAAGGGTCATAGATTTCAATATATGTTAAAAGATATCTGGAGCTAGTAAAGATTAATAACCATTTTCAGTTTTGTGCTGAAATTGGCAAATCATGGCTTTTCTCCCTCCAACACACCCCCTCCCGCCTGAGCACACCACTGGTTAATCTTTATTTTCAGGAGAGAAAAATATATTTCATATGAATAAAGGTAAATTATACACTTGTTTGTTTTATACTTTTCCACCTCTTAAGCTGAATTGTGTTTTAATAATGTATAATTGAATACATTAACATTTAGATGTTAGTAAACTAATAACAAATGTTCATTATTTCTCTTGAGTAGAGGAATACAAATTTTGCACCTGTTGTTATATAGAATGATTTTTAAAATCTCATTCAATCCCTCAGAAGTTTAAGATTTTTTTTCAAGAATTTATATATAAAATTTTTACTCAGAAGCAGATAGCTCTCAAAATGTATGGGTTTTTTTTGCATTATAAATAAACTATTCCACTCACCAATATGCTGAGACATCCTACTTTCTGGTATTTTGAAATAAAAACAAAACACAAGAATGTGACGATGAAGCAAGTGAAAATTAAAAGGGTACAGACTTTAGAAGTATCATAAGCTAAAAATAAAATGAAACAAATCTGTAAAGGAACCAAAAGCCCAGGCAGATATAATACAGTAAATTATGAGAAGCTAAAAAAATGAGGAGGTGATAAACAATAAAGTGAAAATCTCTGATAAAGCCAAAACTACTTGAATGGCAGTCAACAAAACAGAAGAAAAAAATGACACTTATAACAAGGCAGAACTATGGAAATGCATCCCTGGGGGTAAGATAATAGAGTTGCGAATTAGTGGAGGTGGATCACCAATACTGGCCAAATAATGCCCGCTAACATAATTCAAAGGACGGAGAAATTCTGTAGCTGAAGATAAAAAGTCTGAAATATATTATGGTATAGTCAAATGAGTGCCATTTCTAATAGACACACTTATTTTTCAAGAGTTGATAATATGAAGTAAAAATTTAGTATGCAAAGTTCAAATTTTCCATTTGTTGAGTAATTCATTTTTATTAAATATTTTCCAACAATTAAACTGAAGTGGTACCAGAACAGAGTAGACATTCTGAGCTTTCACTTTACAAAAGCTATACATGAATCTACGTACTTCTTAAGGGTATAAACAAAGTCAGAGCCTGTGTGATATTTCAATAAACAATTGGAGAATTTTTTTAAGAATAGATTATATACATATTGACCTCTTTGAGAACCTTATTTTTTTCTTTTTGTGTGTGTGTGTGGACATATGTTTTCATTTCTTTTTTTTTATTATTATTATGCTTTAAGTTTTAGGGTACATGTGCACAACGTGCAGGTTCGTTACATATGTATACATGTGCCATGTTGGTGTGCTGCACCCATTAACTCGTCATTTACATTAGGTATATCTCCTAATGCTATCCCTCCCCCCTCCCCCCACCCCACTACAGTTCCCAGTGTGTGATGTTCCCCTTCCTGTGACCATGTGTTCTCATTGTTCAATTCCCACCTATGAGTGAGAACATGCGGTGTTTGGCTTTTTGTCCTTGCGACAGTTTACTGAGAATGATGGTTTCCAGCTTCATCCATGTCCCTACAAAGGACATAAACTCATCATTTTTATGGCTGCATAGTATTCCATGGTGTATATGTGCCACATTTTCTTAACCCAGTCTATCATTGTTGGACATTTGGGTTGGTTCCAAGTCTTTGCTATTGTGACTAGTGCCACAATAAACATATGTGTGCATGTGTCTTTAGAGCAGCATGATTTATAATCCTTTGGGTACATACCCAGTAATGGGATGGCTGGGTCAAATGGTATTTCTAGTTCTAGATCCCTGAGGAATCACCACACCGACTTCCACAATGGTTGAAATAGTTTACAGTCCCATCAACAGTGTAAAAGTTTTCCTATTTCTCCACATCCTCCCCAGCACCTGTTGTTTCCTGACTTTTTAATGATTGCCATTCTAACTGGTGTGAGATGGTATTTCACTGTGGCTTTGATTTGCTTTTCTCTGATGGGCAGTGATAGCATTTTTTCATGTGTTTTTTGGCTGCATAAATGTCTTCTTTGGAGAAGTGTCTGTCCATATCCTTCGCCCACTTTTTGATGGGGTTGTTTTTTTCTTGTAAATTTGTTGGAGTTCATTGTAGATTCTGGATATTAGCCCTTTGTCAGATGAGTAGGTTGTGAAATTTTTCTCCCATTCTGTAGGTTGCCTGTTCACTCTGATGGTGGTTTCTTTTGCTGTGCAGAGGCTCTTTAGTTTAGTTAGACCCCATTTGTCAATTTTGGCTGTTGTTTCCATTGCTTTTTGTGTTTTAGACATGAAGTCCTTGTCCATGCCTATGTCCTGAATGGTATTGCCTAGTTTTTTTCTATGGTTTTTATGATTTTAGGTCTAACATGTAAGTCTCTAATGCATCTTGAATTAATTTTTGTATAAGGTGTAAGGAAGGGATCCAGTTTCAGCTTTCTACATATGGCTAGCCAGTTTTCCCAGCACCATTTATTAAATAGGGAATCCTTTCCCTAGTTCCTGTTTTTGTCAGGTTTCTCAAAGATCAGATAGTTGTAGATATGCGGCATTATTTCTGAGGGCTCTGTTGCATTCCATTGGCCTCTATCTCTCTTTTGGTACCAGTGTCATGCTCTTTTGGTCACTGTAGCCTTGTAGTATAGTTTGAAGTCAGGTAGCTTCGTACTCCAGCTTTGTTCTTTTGGCTTAGTATTGACTTGGCAATGCAGGCTCTTTTTAGGTTCCATATGAACTTTAAAGTAGTTTTTTCCAATTCTGTGAAGAAAGTCATTGGTAGCTTGATGGGGATGGCATTGAATCTGTAAAGTACCTTGGGCAGTATGGCCATTTTTACAATATTCATTCTTCCTACCCATGAGCATGGAAGGTTCTTACATTTGTTTGTATCTTCTTTTATTTCATTGAGCAGTGGTTTGTAGTTCTCCTTGAAGAGGTCCTTCACATCCCTTGTAAGTTGGATTTCTAGGTATTTTATTCTCTTTGAGGCAATTGAGATCCTTATTGTGAGATTCAATTCAGAATCTGGGATTTTGTTTTGTTTTGAGATGGAGTCTCTCTCTGTCACCAGGCTGGAGTACAGTGGCACAGTCTCGGTTCACTGCAACCTCTGCCTCCCAGGTCCAAGCGATTCTCCTGCCTCAGCCTCCCAAGTAGCTGGAACTACAGGCACGTGCCACCATACCCAGCTAACTTTTGTATGTTTTTTTAGTAGAGATAGGGTTTCACCATGTTGGCCAGGATGGTCCGGATCTGTTGATCTTGTGATTTGCCTGCCTCAGCCTCCCAAAGTGCTGGGATCACAGACGTGAGCCACTACGCCCAGCCCAGAATCTGGGTCTTAACCAGATTTGCCATTATAAGATGAAATTAAACCAAAACCACCAGTCAATATCTGTAGCAGTGTTATTGTTGGGGAGCATGCACGTTTGTTTGAGCTTACTTATATATACAGAGCTGTTTAGCTTAATCTTTAAATTGAAAATTTTTAGTGTTTTTAGAATGTTTTAGATACTTTGATGAATAAATTTTGTGTTAACAAACTACTATTAAAAACTTATAGATTATATATTTCTGAATACATTGGCAGATGTAAATGACAAAGTTATATTCACACAATCAGTTTTTCTTGCACAGAATTGACATTTTGTCAAAAAGTTAAAATCTTTGAAATGTATTTTCTGTCCTCATCTTTCCCCTTTTGAGCATTTTTTCCCCCTGGGTTGGTTATAAAATATTCCCTAACTTCAGGTATCTGGTTAAGTTTTGGGTTTTCTCCCTTCCTACCAACTCATATGGATTGGTAATGATCTGATAGAAGACAATTGCCAAAAATCAATCAAATATGTTTTAAATGAAACTTCTCCAATATAATATTCATATTAATCCTTCTTTAATTGCTGAAAGACTAATAATTGTTCACTGACCCTTAAAATCCTAAAACTTAATCAGCTCACTGGAGTGGATGAATGGATATTTGTCTAGATGAGAATGCTTAGGGTTTACTTCAAGGAGTTCATAATAGTAAAAATGTCCTTTTCTTCCATCAGAAACTTCATCCTGGATATTTTCATCCTTGTTTTTCTACTAGCTCTCCTTCTCCAAATACACTGACTTGGAATCCCAGTTTCAGTGGTGGACTGCGTGGGTTTGATTCTAAGCTATGCTATAATGAGAAAGTAGCTCTAACCGTATTCTCATTTTCTTCACCTGTAATATAGAAATCATCATCAGACAATATACAGATAGGGGCCAGTTATTTCACAGATAATAGTAGGTGAAAATGGAGAGTATGTGGGTGTAGACATGGGAAAGCGAGTTTAAATGGTTTCAGGAGTCTGTGGAAGTTGTCTTTTGGGTGATTCAATGTTCTCAGGGAAGCACAACCAAAAAGACATTGAGGATTTCTGGGGAAGTGTTAGGGATTAGAGACAGGATAAGATACAAAACTAGGTAAATTAGAGAGTGAATAGATTGGAACATATGTAGTATGATTGATTGATAGGCGGCACTCAGATTCTCAGTTTCAAGTGGGATATTTTTCTATTTGATCCATATAGCTAGTTGCTAAAATATATGTGGGGATTTGGTAGAAATTTGGATCTAACCAGGGTTATTTTTCTGGTTAGGTTCAGCAAAGTGAAAGAGAAACCAGGAAGTTGAAGTTTCCTGGGAATGGTTGGCCATGGAATTTAGGCAGGAGAACAGGAAATAGAGTACATCAGTAGGTAAGGGTCATTATGAATATGACAAAATAATAGTTTGGAGGTCTCAGAGAGATTGAAAAATTTTATGTCAGCGTATGAAAGGGAATGATTAAAGGAGGAGCTCAGAGAATGGGATGAATGAAATTGTGACTACAGAGAAGTTGCTATTATAAGTAACGAAGATGCTTCACTCAGTCCCTCTGGAAGTGTGGTCCCTGTGCTAGCAGCAACAGCATCACCTGGGAACTTACTAGAACTGCATATTCTCAGGTTACACCCCCAGATCTACCAAATCTGAAATTCCAATAGCAGGTCTCAGCAATCTCTTATTGTAACACAACTGTAGGCAATTTTGAGGCACACAGTAGTTAGCACAACTGGTCTAGTGTATGTCCTATTTGGTCTTCCTCCCCGGTTCACAGAACAGAGCTCATAAAACTTGAAATTTCCTGATAGAGATGAGAGGACCATCCTTTACTAGTCATAAGTCCCTCTTAGCCATACCTGAGTTTATGCTATTGGCATGACATGAGTGGTGGCTGGAGACCTGTATAGCTTCAGGGTGGGTGCTGGACACCAGAAACATGAAGGCATAACTAGATGGTTGAAACTGTCAGCCCTCTCCTCCATCACCTCTGAGGTGCTGGGAGGGTGATACTATGATATACTTAGAGGTCATATGGCAGCTTTGTGCCCCTTTTCACCATACCGGGCCCTATGTGTCTCTTCTATTTGACAGTTCCTGATTTGTATCAGACAGTAACTGTAAGCAAAGTGCTTTCTTGGGTTCTGTGCGCCATGTTAGCAAATTATAGAACCTGGGGAAGGAATCCATGGAAGTCCTAATTTATAGCCAGTTGGTCAGGAGTATGGGAGGCCCACAACTCCTCTCTAATGGTGGGGGGGCAGTCTTGTGGGCCTGAACCCTGAACTTGTGGGATCTGATGCTATCTCCAGATAGATAGTCTCAGGATTGAATTGAATTGTAGGACACCATCTGGTGTCCTGAGAGTTGAAAAATTGATTGGGGTGAGACTAAATCCACAAATTTCATCTCAGAATTTTGAGTAGAAATAATTCTGTTGGAAAACATTATCGTTAGATCAAAGGTGTTTATAGAACTGAGAGATCAAAATGGCAAAGAGTCATCTATGATTACACATTGTTGACATAAACTAGAATTAAGACAAGAGTATGTCAAAGAGAGTTACATTGAGCCAGGGATAAAAATAGTCAATCGATTGATTAGAATTTAGTAAATGCTATTTTTTGAAAAATTAATCTTTACTTAATTAATGGAGATACTTAATTACCTCCATTTAGATTTTAAATTTATAACAAAAATTGCTATTTTATCTATTTTCCATAAATGGAAATTGAAATAACAATAGCAAAATGCTTCGACAGAAAATCTGCCCTTCTTATTCCCAAGAGGAAGAATGGCCAACTACCTTAAGCAAAAAGTTAGAAAAATTTCATAATTTTTTAAGTTGCCATATTTTATAGCTTTGAACAAGTTGAATTATTAACTAGACTGCTCAGGGAATGGAGCCATCTAATATAATTTCCTTACTATTTAGATAAAATCTTTGTTGTTGAAAATCTTAATCATTTTTAATGATCCTGTTTTCAGAGACTGATATTAATGATTCGTGACACTCATTAAATGCAGTTATTCATCTGATTTGAAAATCATGAGGGAGATTTTTGGTCAGATATGCATAGCAAATCTACGTCACTAGACATAAGTCCCTTCTACCCATGCCACAACCTTTATGTCTACTCTTGAATTGAGGTTTTGCTACGTTTTATTTTTGAGGTTTAAGAATTATTCATTTAACTGACGGAAAATTGTGTTTCTCTTGTTAGAATAGAGCCCAACTTATCTTTTCTATTTTTCATGGAGACATGAAAGGACGTGAATTTGGAATCAGAGAAACCTGAGTTCCACCATGCTTTCTTCCTCTTGCAAGCCATGAAGTCCACAGTGGGTTAGTAGATATTACAAAACCTCTGGTCCCACCTTATTAAGATGAAAAAAATAATACTAATTGAAAGAACGAATGTGATAATGAGAAGAAATGGTATCAATAAAGTTTCTGGAACACAGTAAGTTCTAACAAATGCTAGTTCTTTTCTTTCATTACTCAAAAACTAAATAGAAGCCAGTTGGTAATTCCAAGATAATAGTATGAAGACAAAAAAATGTTTGTTAACTGACCTTCAACCATTGAGACCTTATCTTATAGGAAGCAAAATTAACAAATATTTTCTCCCTTCTACAAATGTATACCCTCTGAGAAAGAGAGACAGTATTCCAATCAAGATGATGACAGTATTCTGTGCACACATAGGAAGGGAAGAAGAATAAGAGAGAACCTTTAAAAAGACAATTTTAGATAGGCACCCTGTTTTTACCAGCAATAACATTTTGTAGAACTTACGGCATACAAAGAAGACCTTAAATGGACTCAGTGCTGAGAAATTTTTATAAGGCTGCTTTATTTTCTTCTATGGTAAATCTAGGAACCAATAAAATAGCTTTGATAATTCACTCATTACATTCTTTCCCAACTAAACCATTTACATTATAAACTTTGTTGATATGCTTTGCTTTTGCATTAATAATTCTCATGTGTCTCATTTGTGAATACATGAAAACTAGTTGTAAAATAAGGAAAATGTAATTTTGAAACATCTTCAAAAACAGTTGCATAATTTAACAATGTTTATAAATTTTTGTCCTTACTCTAAAACCATAGACATCCTAAAAGTGATTGAAGGTAAAATGATTTTTTAAAGAACTGGATTTCTCACCATGATTTATTTTATCTCCATACAAACTTTGGTAGTGTTATACGATGGTTAAGAAGAAATTACTTAAAAGTGAGAATAAAGATACAGCTTATTAACACTTCATTTTGTGGATGAGACCTGAAAAATTAAACTTTTCTTCTAGAGACATGTTGTAGTTGTGTATATAGAGTGTGACTAGATAGTGTCCATATTTTACTGTCATTATTTAAACAGAAACATGTAATTTGCTCTTCAAAAACCTACTACAAATTAGCTGTGTCATTTGGAAGTGTCAAAATTATCTCATTAATGATCAGATAAGCTTTTGGCTCATTGTAATGAGATGTTCCTATAAACCTAATTTGAAAGACAAAGACAGAGTTTGGAGTCTTTAATTCTTGGTAAAATCAGTAGCTCTATTTAGGGATATATTTACAAAATACTATTTCTACTCAAGCATATTTTTATTTACAAGGCGCTTCACAAATATTGACCACAAAGATGTTTCTACCTAGCAGAAATAATTATAGTTACATATAGTTGTCTAGGAATATCTTAAACATGGGGTATTAAAATAACTTTCAAGAACAAGAAGAAATGTTATACCAGGCATTTTTGCAACTAGTGCTCTATTTCAGTGCAATATTTGTGGCAATTAAAAAACATAAATGGCTTGGATATATAGCTAAGATATCAAAGGAAAAATATGCAAAGCATGATTATTTTATAAATGTGCCACATATGTGACTTGAGGTACAAATCCTCTAAGTTTAAAATTGTCTTTTTAAAAAAGAAATCAAAACAGACAAGTGGGTAATGAGTTATGGATACTATTATAGGGTACCCTGATAAACTACTAAGAAGACGACTTTTGGTACTGAAAATTCCAATTAACCACATGCCCCCATTAAGGCCATGATCACTGCCAATTTTTACTCACAAAGGCTGGAGCTAGAATTATATGGAATTCCATATGTATCTAAACCATAGATTTATCAATTATCACTGAAACACAACTTGGAGGACACTATCCAGAATTTGTAGGGCTTGGCCTTATTCTAGAGAAACATACACTAGAATAGGCAGTTGGATTTTAAATTCAGTCTTAAATCTGTTGAAAATAATGCATTTTTTTCTCAGAGATGAGATATTGTTCAACTCTTTTGACTTATTTTAGATTTGATATTATACAGTTCAAACACCATGGAGATTTACTAATCTGAATGAACACATACCAAATTAGTCTTTGCTCCAGTCTCAAAATCTGAGATTAATTCTGGCTGCTGAAGAAATTTTCCAGTGTTAGGAGTATGCTTCAATGCTGGTGACTGGTACTACTTTCTGGTAAACTATAGATGACATGTGCGCTTTCATTGCCTAAACTCACTTTGTAGAACACCATTAAATGAAAATCATCACAAGCAATTTGGGAGGCTAAGGCGGGCAGATCATTTGAGGTCAGGTGTTTGAGACCAGCCTGGCCAACATGATGAAACCCCGTCTCTACTGAAAATACAAAAACTTATCCAGGCATGGCGGGATGCACCTGGAATCCCAGCTACTTGGGAGGCTGAGGCAGGAAAATCGCCTGAACCCAGGATGTGAAGGTTGCAGTGAACAGAGATGTTGCCATTGCACTCCAGCCTGGGGAACAGAGTGAGACTTCATCTCCAAAAAAATGAAAAAAAAGAGAGAAAGAGAGAAAAAAAATTATCAGTGTTCAGTGACTCTTTTTTTTCATGCTGATAAACTATTACACAGAAAAAGAAAATTTTCATGCTGATAAACTATTACACAGAAAAAGAAATGTATCCATTATGGACAATTAAATGGGCTATACAATCTCTCTCATTGTATGATTCTGGTTTTCTTTCTTTTTCTTTTCTTTTTTTCTTTTTCTTTTTAAGATAGGATCTCACTCTGTCACCCAGGCTGGAATGCAGTGGCTCTATCTTGGCTCACTGCAACCTCAGCCTCCGGGGTTCAAGCTATTCTCCTGCCTTAGCCTCCTGAGTAGCTGGGAATAAAGGCATTCACCACCACGCCAGCTAATTTGTGTATTTTTTTAATACAGGTGGGGTTTTGCTATGTTGCCCAGGCTGGTCTTTAACTCCTGACCTCAAATGATCCTCCCGCCTCGGCCTCCCTAAGTGTTGACATTACAGGCATAAGCCACCATGCTTGGCCTGATTCTGTTTTTTAACACAATTCTTATTACTTCTGTTTTAATTTTACAAAGCCATAGGTTTTTAATCTGGGAAACCTTTGAGAAAACATCCAGATAAATTTATAAATAGAAAAATAAATGCAGATACATAGAATTAAGTTTATGGTCTAACAAGTGGGTGGCCATTGAAAACTTTCCAAGTTCCATAAACTGAAGTGAAAGGATCCCTTTCCTGAAAATATTACAAAGGCTTGATAATTACCTGGATTGTACTAAAACCTACACAATCTAGTATATTCTATAGCAGCAATTCATAAAGACAGCTTCACTTACCATGTAGAATTTATATGTACACTAAATTTAATGAATGCATTACTTGCTATTGGAGTAGGATAATAAACTCCCAGCAGAACTGATTTGCATGAATGCCTATTAAACTATCATTGATGTAGAAATTAAACAATATATTAAGCTATTGAGCCCCAGATGTGTGAGAGACAGAGAAAAACTTCAAAAGAGTTCAGCTACCAAATCCCTTCCTCAATAGCTCTTTGAGTCTCAAGACAGTTTCAACCACACACACCCTCAGAGTCTTATGGTCCAAACAACATTTGACTGCAGCTCTAAAGTAAGCAAACATTTGTAAAGAAACAATCAAAGATCTATGCCTGTAGTTATGGTCAAGGAGGTCCACCTACTGGTGGGTGAGCATGGCAAGGATAGGGACTAAGCCAAATGATGGGTTTACCAAAACAGAAACAGGAGAAGTCATTGGAAGCACAGTCCAGGTTATAACAGGAGCCCAGGCACTTGATGTGGGAACCCTATTTGTCTCATTCAGCACCTAGAGTTTTAACATCCTATGAGGCACAGCTAATGCCCTTCATTATTTTTTTTGTAATTGACTGCATAGTTTAGAACTATGCCTTGAATTTAATATCTATCTGTTGAATAAATGAATTAATAATGATGAAAATCTGTCCACAGGTTATGTGCAGTACTGAAGAGCAACTTCAGCTATTAAGGTATCTATCAGAAGTCTTACTCTCTAAAAAGCTTCTGGTTAGTTACTGATATACGTTACTGATAATTTCACTCTCACAATGTAGGGGAAGCAGGAATGTTATCTGGCCTCTTGGCTCCTCTTCCTTTGCCTTCCACAGATCTCTCTGCTTGTTGACAGAGGAACACTTTCGTGGCTCTCAGTTCATTTTGCAATTCTGCTAGAATCTCATTTCATCCTCAGTTGTAACTAGCTTGTCCTTCACCCAACGCTTATTTATGGAGGGACAGATAGCAAGAAGAAATCGCACTCTGGATTACAAAGTGGGAAGACGCACCCCTTGGCCAGAATGCCTGCCTCCTATGTTCATGATGGATATTTCTAATTGATCTCGGCACTCTTTTCCATTGAGCCCATGTCCCAAATTGGCCGTGAGTTAGGGAGAGGGCTCTAGAGTGGGAAAGGTGTACCCAAAACTTCCCTAATCTGACTACCAAGCCTAAAAAATTAAACTTTCAATTCAACATCCCTTGTTTCTCCAACTTGGAGTGCCTGATGGTGTGGGAAGCCCCTACTCATAAAAATTCATAGTTGAAGATTGTTGGTAATTTTGCCCAACCTCATTCTTTTTTTTATTATACTTTAAGTTCTAGGGTACATGTGCACAACGTGCAGGTTCATTACATATGTATACATGAGACATGTTGGTGTGCTGCCCCCATTAACTCGTCATTTTCATTAGGTATATCCCCTAATGCTTTTCCTCCCCTAGCCCCTCACCCCACAACAGGCCCCAGTGTGTGATGTTCCCCCTTGTGATAGTTTGCTGAGAATAATGGTTTCCAGCTCCATCCATGTCCCTACAAAGGACAAGAACTCATCATTTTTATGGCTGCATAGTATTCCATGGTGTATATGTGCCACATTTTCTTAATCCAGTCTATCAATGTTGGACATTTGGGTTGGTTCCAAGTCTTTGCTATTGTCAGTAGTGACTCAATAAACTCCTTCTTTCTTTGCCTAGTTACACCTCAATGCAACCTCCTGGCAGGCCAGCCTTAAGCCCAGCAGTCCAACCATGCATCTAAGCTGAGTTCTCGTCAGAGCCAACTTCAATTATAAACAACTGAGATGGTGCCAGAGGCCAGAATCCCTGAGAACCCAATTTGCTGTCATCACCGCAGGTGAAACAAGGCACTTGGCATCTAGAAAAGCTGGTCTGTAGGAAATTTCCAATAGAGTTCAATTTTTTCCAAGTTTAAAGTGTACAATATCATCAAGGTCAGATACTCGAGATAAAACTAGGCTTGTGTTTAAATATAATAAAAATATTTGAAGAATAGTAAGAGTGGTGACTACTTTTACACAGGAATGTTTCAAATAAATTGTTTTTTTCTTGTGCCTTTTAAATTTTGTGATTTGTCAATGAGATGCTGACATATTTTTAATGAAGCATGCCTTGTAAAATAATAAGTGAATGAAAACTACACAGTAATATTCACATCAACAAAGCTAGAAGACTGTATGTCTCAAGAGGCTCCATCATCTACCCAGTGGCCACTTGACCAAATTAAGATCCAAATACCAAAAAGAAAAGTAATTAAAATTTGTGTTGTATGCCTTATAAGACCAAACCTATAAAATGAGGGGAAACTTCACAATTACTTGTAATTTGCTCTGTGGAATTGTAACAGATGGATTATAAAGATGATTCCATGATAAACATCTAAATGTGGTTACTACCTTCTGTGCTTTCTTGCTTCATATTTTTATTGTTTTTTTCTTTATAAACAGATAATTCATTCTTATCTATGGCAATGCAAACTTTTCTGATGTATTGAATATGTCATAGTTTTTTTCTATTGTAGGCATCTCTAAAAAAGGTATAGAAAACAAACAGAGAAATGTCTGATATTGGAAAGGAGAGAGAAATAAAGCTTGTAAAGGAATGAAGATTAGAGCTTTCTGGAGATAAAAATTCTTAGAAGATACAAAAGGTAGTTACTGAATTAGATAAAGGTTCTTTTTCAGTTTTTCCCAGTCGTTCATCTCTTAGAAGGCACATATTCACAGCAGAAAAGAAAAAAAGGGTTAAAAAGAAAATACCTCGGTGTAGTGAGACTGTAATTTCATGAGGGCATTACTGAAGACTCACTTTTTCCAGTATCACTCAGCATGGTATTATGCATGTGTGTAATGTAAAGGAAAGTGAATATGCATTCTTGGATGGGTGATCAAATCGTAATTACAGAATATAATCAGAAGCTGATTCATTATCCTCTTGAAATTTCACAATCTTTCTATCAGGAATTAAAATTCAGAAGAGGGTAAATGTATCTAATAGTTTGAAAGTTAAAAATTAGAGGATGGAGGCAACATGGTCGAATAGGAGCAGCTCCAGTCTACAGCTCCCAGCATGAGTGATGCAGAAGACAGGTGATAACTGCATTTCCAACTGAGGTACCAGGTTCATCTCACTGGGGAGTGCTGGACAGTGGGTGCAGTGCACCATGCATGAGCCAAAGCAGGGCAAGGCATCACCTCACCTGGGAAGCACAATGGGTCAGGGAATTCCCTTTCCTAGTCAAAGAAAGGGGTGACAGAAGGAACCTGGAAAATCAGGTCACTCCCACCCTAATACTGCGCTTTTCCAACAGGCTTATCAAATGGCACACCAGGAGATTATATCCAGCACCTGGCTTGGAGGATCCTACACCCACGGAGCCTCGCTGTTTGCTAGCACAGCAGTCTGAGATCAAACTGCAAAGTTACAGTGGGGCTGGGGGAGGGGCGCCTGCCATTGCTCAGGCTTGAGTAAGTAAACAAAGCAGCCAGGAAGTTCGAACTGGGTGGAGCCCACCACAGCTCAAGGAGGCCAGCCTGCCTCTGTAGGCTCCATCTCTGGGGGCAGGGCACAGACCAACAAAAGACAGCAATAACCTCTGCAGACTTACATGCCCCTGTCTGACAGCTCTGAAGAGAGTAGTGTTTCTCCCAGCATGCAGCTTGAGATCTGAGAACGGGCAGACAGCCTCCTCAAGTGGGTTCCTGAACCCTGAGTAGCCTAACTGGGAGGCAACCCCTAGTAGGGGCAGACTGACACCTCACATGGCCGGGTACCCCTCTGAGTCAAAACTTCCAGAGGAACGATCAGGCAGCAGCATTTGCAGTTCACCAATATCCATTGTTCTGCAGCCACTGCTGCTGATACCCAGGCAAATAGTGTCTGGAGTAGACCTCCAGTAAACTCCAACAGACCTGCAGCTGAGGGTCCTGACTGTTAGAAGGAAAACTAACAAACAGAAAGGACATCCACACCAAAACCCCATCTGTATGTCACCATCATCCAGGACCAAAGGAAGATAAAACCACAAAGATGGGAAAAAACAGAGCAGAAAAACTGGAAACTCTAAAAATCAGACTGCCTCTCCTCCTGCAAAGGAATGTAGCTCCTCACCAGCAGTGGAACAAAGCTGGACGGAGTATGACTTTGGCGAGTTGAGAGAGGAAGGCTTCAGAAGATCAAAGTACTCTGAACTAAAGGAGGAAGTTCGAACAAATGGCAAAGAAGTTAAAAACTTTGAAAAAAAATTAGACGAATGGATAACTAGAAAAACAAATGCAGAGAAGTCCTTAAAGGACCAGATGGAGCTGAAAACCATGACACAACTATGACATGACAAATGCATAAGCCTCATTACCCGATGTGATCAACTGGAAGAAAGAGTATCAGCGTTGGAAGACGAAATGAATGAAATAAAGCATGAAGAGAAGTTTAGGGAAAAAGGAATAGAAGAAATGAACAAAGCCTCCAAGAAATATGGGACTATGTGAAAAGACCAAATCTATGTCTAATTGGTGTACCTGAAAGTGACGGGGAGAATGGAACCCAGTTGGAAAACACTCTGCAGGATATTATCCAGGAGAACTTCCCCAATCTAGTAAGGCAGGCCAACATACAAATTCAGGAAATACAGAGAATGCCACAAAGATACTCCTCGAGAAGAACAACTCCAAGACACATAATTGTCAGATTCACCAAAGTTGAAATGAATGAAAAAATTTTAAAGGCAGCCAGAGAGAAAGGTCAGGGTACCCACAATAGGAAGCCCATCAGACTAACTGCTGATCTCTCCTCAGAAATTCTACAAGCCAGAAGAGAGTGGGGGCCAATATTCAACATCTTAAAGAAAAGAATTTTCAACCCAGAATTTCATATCCAGCCAAACGAAGCTTCATAAGTGAAGGAGCCACTGCAAAAACATGCCAAATTGTAAAGACCATCAAGGCTAGGAAGAAACTGCATCAACTAACGAGGAAAGTAACCAGCTAACGTCATAATGACAGGATCAAATTCACACATAACAATACTAACCGTAAATGTAAATGGGTTAAATACTCCAATTAAAAGGCACAGACCGACAAATTGGATAAAGAGTCAAGACCCATCAGTGTGCTTTATTCAGGAAAGCCTTCTCACCTGCAGAGACACACATAGACTCAAAATAAAGGGATGGAGGAAGATCTACCAAGCAAATGGAAAACAAAAAAAGGCAGGGGTTGCAATCCTAGTCTCTGATAAAACAGACTTTAAGCCAACAGAGATCAAAAGAGACAAAGAAGGCCATTACATAATGGTAAAGGGATCAATTCAACAAGAACTAACTATCTTAAATATATATGCACACAATACAGAAGCACCCAGATTCATAAAGCAAGTCCTTAGTGATCTACAAAGTGACTTAGACGCCCACAAAATAATAATGGGAGACTTTAACACCCCACTGTCAACATTAGACAGATCAACGGACAGAAAGTTAACAAGGATATACAGGAATTGAACTCAGCTCTGCACCAAGCAGACCTAATAGACATCTACAGAACTCTCTATCCCAAATCAACGGAATATGTATTCTTTTCAGCACCACACCACACCTATTCCAAAATTGACCACATAGTTGGAAGTAAAGCACTCCTCAGCAAATGTAAAAGAACAGAAAGTATAACAAACTGTCTCTCAGACCACAGTGCAATCAAACTACAACTCAGGATTAAGAAACTCACTCGAAACCACTCAACTACATGGAAACTGAACAACCTGCTCCTGAATGACTACTGGGTACATAAGGAAATGAAGGCAGAAATAAAGATGTTCTTTGAAACCAACAAGAACAAAGACACAACATACCGGAATCTCTGGGACACATTCAAAGCATCGTGAAGAGGGAAATTTACAGCACTAAATGCCCACAAGAGAAAGCAGGAAAGAAATAAATTTGACATCTTAACATCACAATTAAAAGAACTAGAGAAGCAAGAGCAAACACATTCAAAAGCTAGCAGAAGACAAGAAGTAACTAAGATCAGAGCAGAACTGAAGGAAATAGAGACACAAAAAACCCTTCAAAAAATCAATGAATCCAGAAGCTGTTTTTTGAAAAGATCAACAAAATTGACAGACCACTAGCAAGACCAATAAAGAAGAAAAGAGAGAAGAATCAAATAGATGCAATAAAAATTGACAAAGGGGATATCACCACCGATCCCACAGAAATATAAACTACAATCAGAGAATACTATAAACACCTCTACACAAATAAACTAGAAATTCTAGAAGAAATCGATAAATTCCTTGACACATATACTCTCCCAAGACTAAACCAGGAAGAAGTTGAACCTCTGAATAGACAAATAAAACGCTCTGAAATTGAGGGAATAATTAATAGCTTACCAACCAAAAAAAGTCCAGGACCAGATGGATTCACAGCCGAATTCTACCAGTGGTACAAGGAGGAACTGGTACCATTCCTTCTGAAACTATTCCAATCAATAGAAAAAGAGGGAATCCTCCCTAACTCATTTTATGAGGCCAGCATCATCCTGATACCAAAGCCTGGCAGAGATAAAACAAAAAAAAAGAGAATTTTAGACCAATATCCTTGATGAACATTGATGCAAAAATCCTCAATAAAATACTGGCAGACCGAATCCAGCAACACATAAAAAAGCTTATCCACCATGATCAAGCGGGTTTCATCCCTTGGATGCAAGGCAGGTTCAACATATGAAAATCAGTAAACGTAATCCAGCATATAAACAGGACCAAAGACAAAAACCACATGATTATCTCAATAGATGCAGAAAAGGCATTTGACAAAATTCAGCAAACCTTCATGCTAAAAACTCTCAATAAATTAGGGATTGATAGGACGTATCTCAAAATAATAGGAGCTATCTATGACAAACCCACAGCCAATATCATACTGAATGGACAAAAACTGGAAGCATTCCCTTTGAAAACTGGCACAAGACAGGGATGCCCTCTCTCACCACTCCTATTCAACATAGTGTTGGAATTTCTGGCCAGGGCAATCAGGAAGGAGAAGGAAATAAAGGGCATTCAATTAGGAAAAGAGGAAGTCAAATTGTCCGTTTGCAGATGACATGACTGTGTATGTGGAAAACCCCATCGTCTCAGCCCAAAATCTCCTTAAGCTAATAAGCAACTTCAGCAAAGTATCAGGATACAAAATCAATGTGCAAAAATCACAAGCATTCTTATACACCAATAACAGACAAACAGAGAGCCAAATCATGAGTGAACTCCCATTCACAATTGCTTCAAAGAAAATAAAATACCTAGGAATACTACTTACAAGGGAAGTGAAGGACCTCTTCAAGGAGAACTACAAACTACTGCTCAATGAAATAAAAAAGGATACAAACAAATGGAAGAACATGACACGCTCATGGGTAAGAAGAATCAATATCGTGAAAATGGTCATACTGCCCAAGGTAATTTATAGATTAAATTCCATCTCCATCAAGCTACCAATGACTTTCTCCACAGAATTGGAAAAAACTACTTTAAAGTTCATACGGAACCAAAAAAGAGCCCACATTGCCAAGTCAATCCTAAGCCAAAATAACAAAGCTGGAGGCATCATGCTACCTGACTTCAAGCTATACTACAAGGCTACAGTAACCAAAACAGCATAGTACTAGTACCAAAACAGAGATATAGACCAATGGAACAGGACAGAGCCCTCAGAAATAATACCACATATCTACAACTATCTGATCTTTGACAAACCTGACAAAAACAACAACTAGGGAAAGGATACCCTATTTAATAAATGGTGCTGGGAAAACTGGCTAGCGGTATATAGAAAGCTGAAACTGGATCCCTTCCTTACACCTTATACAGAAATTAATTCACGATGGATTAAAGACTTACATGTTAGACCTAAAACCATAAGAACCCTAGAAGAAAAACCAGGCAATACCATTCAGGACATAGGCATGGGCAGAGACTTCATGTCTAAAACACCAAAAGCAATGGCAACAAAAGACAAAATTGACAAATGGGATCTAATTAAACTAAGGAGCTTCTGCACAGCAAAAGAAACCACTATCAGAGGGAACAGGCACCCTACAGTATGGGATAAAAGTTTTGCGACCTCCTCATCTGACAAAGGGCTAATATCCAGAATCTACAATGAACTCAAACGAATTCACAAGAAAAAAACAAACAACCCCATCAAAATGTGGGCAAAGGAAATGAACAGACACTTCTCAAAAGAAGACATTTTGCAGCCAAAAGACACATGAAAAAATGCTCATCATCACTGGCCATCAGAGAAATGCATATCAAAACCACAATGAGATACCATCTCACACCAGTTAGAATGGCGATCATTAAAAAGTCAGGAAACAACAGGTGCTGGAGAGGATGTGGAGAAATAGGAAAACTTTTACACTGTTGGTGGAACTGTAAACTAGTTCAACCATTGTGGAACTCAGTGTGGTGATTCCTTAGGGACCTAGAACTAGAAATACCATTTGACCCAGCCATCACATTACTGGGTATATACCCAAAGGATTATAAATCATGCTGCGATAAAGACACAAGCACATGTATGTTTATTGTGGCACTATTCACAATAGCAAAGACTTGGAGCCAACACAAATGTCCAACAATGATAGACTGGATTAAGAAAACGTGGCACATATACACCATGGAATACCATGCAGCCATAAAAAATGTTGAGTTCATGTCCTTTGTAGGGACATGGATGAAGCTAGAAACCATCATTCTCAGCAAACTATTGCAAGGAAAAAACCAAACACCACATGTTCTCACTCATAGGTGGGAATTGAACAATGAGAAAACATGGATACAGGAAGGGGAACATCACACACTGAGGACAGTTGTGGAGTGGGGGGAGGGGGGAAGGATAGTATTAGGAGATATACCTAATGTTAAATGACGAGTTAATGGGTGCAGCACACCAACATGGCCCATGTATACATATCTAACAAACCTGCACGCTGTGCACATGTACCCTAAAACTTAAAATATAATAATAAAAAAAATTAACAGGAGACTTTTATACAGATAAATTTGCTTTGCATCATGATCAGCACTAAAGTGCATCATAGATTTAAACCATATTTACACAGTTAAAACAATGTACCAAATATGCAATATATTATGTAACATTCTACAAGATGCTTTCAAACATGCAAACTGACCTTTAAAACAATTTTGCATAAAAGAACATTTCTAGGTAAGAGAAAAGACAGACATGTGGTTAGGGCAAAATATTTCTGTTCAAATTACAAAATACTGAATGACAAATTACAGGATAGAAAAAATTATATTGTACCTGGAATTTGAAGTCTTCAAATTTATTTAGATATATGCATCTATATGTATTAATAGAGACATATTTAACTGATTATAAGTTTAGAACATTTATATTTTGAAGATGTCATTCTTTAAAAATTATTAATATCTACAGGATTGCTGCAGATATTTTAATTTTAAACAAATATTTTTCACTAATGTGACCAGTATTTATATCCTATTTCATTGAACAGACATTTCAAGATTCTTTTAGAGTTAATTTTTAAAAATTAAGTATCACACATATTTCTGAAGTACTAACTTAAAAAATAAAAATCTTTTCTAGCTTTTCATATAGTTAAACATTTTCATAATGACTAAAAAGATAAAAATAAATTAACAACCATAATTAAATTAGAATTCTACTTTTTATATAAGATGAAATACTATATAAAATGTCCAGAAAATCTAGTGTTAATGAGGCTGTGCAGCCTGGACATTTGATGTCTCATCTGTGGGAATGTGAACTAACCCAACCATTCTGAATAATTATTGGCTCTGTGTGTTAACAGTCTAGAGTCCTGAAACAAGGATCTTAATTCTAAAATAAAATCCTATTCTAAGAATATACCAAGGGTTGATAATCAAGGAAGTTTCAAAGTTATAGAGAAGAACCTTCATCCTAGCATTATATATGTAATCATCCATATAAATCAGATAGTGTTGAATGAAACTGCGGAAAAACAAAGAGCCTACAGAATATGTTTCTCTTTGTGTACAACTGTAAATGTACACATCTATCCATGTAAAATTTTACATCTCAGGAGGATAGGTACCAACATGTTAACATGCTATAGCTATAAGATAAGAAATTTTACTTTCTTACAATTTCATACACACACACACACTCTCAAACACATACACACACACCAAGGATATATACGCACACAAATATATATATAAACATACATGTTTATATAGGTACACACACACATACATATACACTGATGGTCAACAACTTATAATGGTTCAATTTATGATTTTTTTTACTTTATGATGAAGCAAAAGTGATAGCTTTGAATAGAATATAACCATTCTGCTTTTCACTTTCAGTACAATATTCAACAAATTACATAAAATATCCAATACTTTATTATAAAGTGGGTTTTGTATTCAATGATTTTGCCCAATTGTCAGCTGATGTAAGTGTTCTGAGCACATTAAAGGTATGCCAGGCTAAGCTGTGATATTCAGTAAGTGAGGTATTAAATACATTTTTAACTTTCTGTATTTTCAATTTATAAGCAGCTTATCAAGACTTAACCCCATTGTACATTGAAAAGCATTTGTATTGCATTAAACATGTTATAAAATATTTGTAATTGAAATTACTGGCAACTTTTGAAAAAATGTAATGAAATAATGTGCTTTGCTATTGGTTGAAATGTTTTTGGGCAGGGTCAGTGGCTTACACCTGTAATCCCAGCACTTTGGTAGGCTGAGGTGGGCAGATCACTTGAGGTCAGGAGTTTGAGACCAGCCTGGCAAACATGGTGAAACCCTATCTCTACTAAAAATACAAAAATTATCTGAGTGTGGTGGCATGTGCCTGTAATCCCAGCTACTAGGGAGGCTGAGGTGTGAGAATTCCTTGAACTAGGCAAGCAGAGGTTGCAGTGAGCCAAGATCATGCCATTGCACTCCAGCCTGGGCAACAGAGTAAGATTCTGTCAAAAAAAAAAAAGAAAGAAAGAAAAGAAAAAAAAGTTTTTAGCTTCAAGTAACAGAATAGTCAACTAACTGAAGAAAAAAACAAAGAGCAACTTTGACCAAATCGCACAACAAATAGATGGTATCAATGCTTAGTTAATTCAACATGATCCACTTCTTTGTGATTCTCTTATCTTTCTACCTATGTTTTCAAGATGGCTATGGCATTCCCAGCCTTACAACTTCATGTGACAAAATCCAATGGCAGGAAATAATAAGAGATGGCATTTTGGAACTTTAAGGAAAAACTTTAAGGATTGGAAAACAGGGATGCCATATGTCCAGTAACATGGGATAGCCGCTCCTAATTAAGGATTGCTGTATGTCCTGAATGACTTTCTAATGTAATGAAGGCGAATAACCTGCTGTGTTTAATTATACAATCCCAAATGTAACTGCCTAAGTGCCAAGTACTTTTGCATGGTTTTAATATGCCATGAATTTTGCAAGAATGAAACTACTATGTATATGAGAAAAGACGGTAGATTTTTTCATTTAGATACTCATTTCAGAGTCTCAATAGGAAAAATAGAACACACACAAACTAAGATAATTTAACATGGGTTTATTTCCAAAGAGACTACTTACGAAAATGTCAGGGGAGAAGGGTGAAGGAATCACAGAAATCACACCCCACAATAACTCTGGGTTAGTAGCAGCAGACAGAGTTCTGGGGAGTAAACTGCCCTTATCACACAAGGAAACACTAATTTTCTTATGAAAAAGATTGGTCAAGGAGACCTAGCAGAGAGGGAGTTTAGGCAATAACCCCCAATCTCATTTCCTCCTTCCCTTTAATCTCATGAACATGCATGGAAGGCAATGAGCAAGGGAACCGATTGAGATATTCAATATGGACCATTCCACTTGGACAAAAGCCAGTAAATAGGGGAGTATAACAGGGGACAAGGGCCAAACAGAAAGTATCTATTACATTTACCAATGCAGATCAATCATGTCAACAATAGAAATGGCAGTTTCGGCATTTGGTTATTCAGTGAAACTATATTTGTGGCTTTTTATTTACAATGTTTCAAAGTATGGGTGAAGATATGAAAATTTCATTATGTTCTATTGTATTTGATATGTAAATGTTCTGGCACAATTATATACATTTTGGATTATATATTGACAGTAAATTATTTCTCCTTTGTTAGCTTCAGCATAACATTAATATTTTCAACAACTTGAATGCATACATTGTGTTCTCACTAATAGTTTAGAATAGCGAAGGGGTCTTTGAAGAATTTCTTATGAAGTAGAGGCATTGGCTCAGACAGAGCCGAAAACCATTGGCTTAGATTAATCACTATTTATCCTAGGGCTGAAGAGGGCCAATTGAAGACACAAATGTCCAATCCCTCTATGACCTTGGAGATCTATGAAACAGAGAAATAGAGACTGGTTCTTAAGGAGGTAATAAGTGTGCCTTCTATGGTTTATAATAATATGCATTGTCTTAACAATTGAATACTTAAAAGTTAATGCCCTCATAATATGCAAAATTTTTAATAAGCACATTGGTCCCTGTGTTCAAGTAGTTGGTAATCAAATTAGTGAAGTATGGTAAGTCTTTTGAAGAGCATTAAACAGCAGAGAATGTAAGAAATTTGTCTCTATAGTATTGTGGGTCTTCTGTGTTTCCTAAGGGCACATTCATATGATCTAATAACTGAGCAGAGAGAAGCCTATAGGATAGTTTATGGTTTCATTTGTTTGTTTTTGCCAATTAACATACATTTCTACATTAAAAGTCAACTATCTTTTCCTTGGGAGTCAACTATAGGAGAAGATAGTGAAGAGGCAAGGAAAATTACAGCAGCTCAACAGCTTTACCCTGGAAATATCTGTATTGTGTACCGCTATAGCCTACCTTTATCAGTCACATAACAATGTCAAAGAGGCAAGCTTGGCACCATTGCTCTTAGTGAATCTCTGCTGCCAGCCTTTTATCCTAAGTGCTCTCCAAAGACCCATTTAATGGACCTTCCTGAAATTGTGCTCAGGATCAATATGAGGCTCATTGATACAGCATTTTTGGAACTCACCATTTTCTTATTTATTAAACCTGGGATAGTTGCCTGACTTCTATCATCTGAAATCCTCTCCATGACTTTCAAAATTATCAACATTGGTTCCAACATCATTCCTAGAAAACATTTCAGTGGAGTATATTTATCTGACATTTGACTGTATTTATAGCAGTAAGAATCTATGATGATTCCTCCCAAAATAATCCCACAATTACCCATTTTGGGTCACCTTTGAGGGTTTTACCCTTAATATCAGAGATCTGTTCTATACATTTGAGTCTTAGAAATAATTACTAGCTTCTCTCTGAATTTAACTGAAGTTCCTTACTTTTATTCAGCCTGTTACCCAAATTACATAATGTATTGAAGGCTAAAAACTGTCCAAATTTCTGATTACATTTAGATAAAAATGGGAATATGACTTTTTCTTTTTCTAACTTGGCAAAGATTATGTTTTTTTCATGAAGAAATATAGGCATATTTAAACACTCAGGATCTGAGAATTTGAAATACATGAAACTTAGCAAGTGGTCTTTAAGTAGTTTTCATTTCTAAATTATAGTACATACCATTGAATGCTACAGAAGGAAAGACAATGAGGGATTACTCATAAACATTGCCTTTATGATATCCTTCCAAAGAAAACCAAGTGTCCCTGTGCTTGGACTCATAAAGCAGAAATGCTCACCTTGCTTTTATGTCACTAACAAACAATTGTGCCTAGTCAATTAATTCTAACTCATATAAGCCATCTTGAGAGTGGAGCCCCTAGGGAAAACTACAAATGGAAAATTCATTGATTTTTTACTTTGCTTTCCTATGGATTAAATTTAACACTTTCTTGTAAATCTCTCCCTTTACAGATCATATGTGATAAATAGTTATCCAACTTTCTAGATGTCCACCCAGAGCAGCTTCCATATGAAGAGGTGGAAACGGATTCTGTGCATGATACTGGTTAGGATAGGGAACTGTTTTTTTTTTAAGGAGATTTTAAAAATTTGTTTTCCTTGTACACATAGCCTTAATATTGTGTTGCTAAGTGCCCTCTGGGAACAAAGTCATACCAATCACAAATACATTGCCTAAAGCGGGAGGCTTATTACTCTGCTGTGAATTCCATCTCCTATTATGTTTTAAAGATGCTACAAACTTGAGACATTACTATGTAGATGACATTCCCAGCAAATCCCCAAACAACATTTAATGAGATTTCAAATACCAGGATCATGAAACAGTAAAAGATATAAGGAAATAAAGAAAAGCACAGTACATGTGTAGAAGGCATTAAAACACAAATTTTATAATTATGAATGCATATAATAAGGAACAAGTTTTATTCTAAATAGCAATTAAATCAGAACTATGATACAGGGAATAAAAGTGAATATTAAACCATTGTACCGACAATAACAGAGCCCTTTTTCTGCTGCGTGATGGAATTTAGTGTTTGCTAAGGAAAAAGAAAAATTCAAGATATCTTAAATTTGGTACTTTCCAACAAATTTAAGAAATGTGTACACACTTGAGGAGACTTAAGAAGTCTCTGACTAAAACACTAGAAAAGAAAAGCAGTGAAAAGCCAAATAACTATTACTCAACAATAACATTTGTTACTATTATATTAATATTAAACACACTATTATGCAACAACATTTCAGTTACTCTCTGAGCCCAAAGTCATTTTTCATGAACCATTCACAACACTGATAACCTATTGAAAAATGATTGAAAACAAAAAAGCTTATTGCTTTCCAAGTCCTTTTAAAGCCTTCTCATGTGTCATTTCATATAATACTTATAACGAATCTATGGAGTATATACTGACTTTATCTCTGTACAGAAAAGAAAACTGAGTCATATTCAGAATAAGTTGCAAAGTTCCCCAGATAATCAGTGTCATAGGTGAAATTTGATGTCACAGTGTAGTCAAGTGTAATTTAGGGAAGCAGTACAAATGATGGTTGAAAGCACAGGTTCTGGGGTAAATAGCCTGAAGTCAAAATCTAGTTCATATCCTCAGTGGCTGTGTGATCTTGGGAAATTTCCCTTAACTCTCTGTGTCTTGGTTTTATAGTTTCATCCATTTTTGCCTCTCATATGAGCTGGTGAGCATTACACAAGTTTATGCTTCTAGGACACTGAAAACAGTACCTGGCTCTTGATAAATATTAACAATTTTGTTTCATTTTCTTCACCTTGAGTATTTCATGGCCAGATGGAAATCAATGTCAATATGAAAAAATGTTCATAATTCAGCAGGAAGAAATACAAAACCATATAAACAACTTTGTTTTACTGGCAAGTGTATTGGGAAGCTATGTTAAATTGAGAAGGGGAAGCCTCTAAGGATGTCGATTAATCAATGACCAAAAGGTGATGAGACTTGTCTGGAATTTTTTTTTGGAGACTCTGAGACTTAAAATTTTGACAAAATAAGGAGATGAATTGAGTAGTGTGGAAGAGACATTTTCTGAAGTCATCTGAGAAAGGAGAGACAAATATGTAAGGGGAAAGTGGTATGAAGTAATAATATCTATGAAGTGTTTTCTAAAGTATAACACATGTAAGTTGTGTTAAATGTAATCTATCATGATTATATCATTACTGTCTGACTGATACAACTATATCCACCTCAGTTAGCCACATAAGATCAATTTTCCTATACCTTAGAGAATACCAGTAACCTCCAGTTCAGAAACAGCATAAATATCTATCCACAGCTGAGCAGACACATACAGCTAGCTACCAGATGAAATGGGCTATATCTTCAAATACTATTGTTTTCCGTTTTTTAACTGTGGCAAAACACACTCAACAATTTGCATCTTAACTACTGTTAAGTATACAATTCAGTGTCATTAAATGTATTCACAATGTTGTGCAAGCATCACCACCACCCATCTCCATAATTCTTTTAGTCTTGTAAAATTGAAATCCTGTACCCATTAAAAAGTGACTCCCCATTCCCCGCCCTCCCAGGGCAACTACAACTTTACTTTCTGTCTTGATGAATCATACAATATCAAATGGAATTTTTAAGATATTTAAAATCTTTTGTCTGGAAGCGAAGTGGAAGTTAATATCAATGGCTATGCCTTCAGTGAGTCCTCAGACCACATTACAATGTAGTTAACTATTTATCTTTTATTACGTTCTAGATCTATTATTTCTTTCTGGCACAAAAATATCTTCTTTGAAGATTATGGCATTTACCTCTATCTCCACACCTTTTTGCGTCTCTCATCCACAGATCATCAGCCTCTTGCTTAGTCTCTATTTAATGACAATTTCTATTTAGTATACAACAGTCTTTCCCCCTGCAATGCAATTTCTTCACTCTGAAAAGCTCTGACTCTGGCTACTGGTCTCTGTTATGTACTCATCCCTAGAGCCATGTCTTCAA
This sequence comes from Homo sapiens, assembly GCF_000001405.40. Taxonomy (NCBI): domain Eukaryota; kingdom Metazoa; phylum Chordata; class Mammalia; order Primates; family Hominidae; genus Homo; species Homo sapiens. The sequence continues at coordinate 10,869 of NT_187365.1, read as the reverse complement.
ATATTTCTCAGAACTTCTTCACATCTAAAAATCTAGGATTAATTTATTGCTCTCTGATTATATTCTTCTGGTATTTCAAGTATCGTGTATAACTTCTTCATCTGCCCTTGCTTTTCTTCTACATCAAGATGTCAAGTTCATGGACTTCCCAATTAATCATTTTAAAAATTTATTTCAAGCCTTTATGAGTCACTACAATGTACATATGTTCTCAGGAATTATGGCCCTACAATTTGTATGTGAGAATAGTTCCTGTGTCAGGCATTATGGACATAAGAGGAAATAAATTCTAGCCCCTGCCTACAAGGAGCTAATTCCCAGCCTAAGACAGATTGCAAGCCAATAATTTGCAGAGTTGTAAGTCTAAGGAAACTGATTGGGATGTACCTAATTCGAGCTGGGAATATCAGAAGAAAAACTTTTTGAAAGTCATGAGACATGAGCTATGCCTAAAAGAATAAAAAATAGAGAGAGAAATAAGAATAAATAAATTAGGGAATGAGATGGGTATAATAGTAGAAAAAGGAAATCTCTTTAGATAAAACAGGTTATGAGAGTATATAGGAGGCTTATTAACTCAGTGTGGTTGGAGAAAACAGGTTGAAAGGAGAAATAGGAGAGAAAGTTACAAAGGGAATCAAATGTGTTAGTAGTTGAGGGAAAAGCAAATATTGAATACGACCCATAGATCTTGGATAACCAAGTGTTTGGTAGTAGCTTACATAAAAGTTTGTGACAAAATAACCAGAGGTATGCAGAGAAAATAATAACTGAATGTTATATTTCCTCTCAGTAGAAACCTAAAAAAAAAATGTAATCACACCCTGATCTTTTAACTGACCTCCACTTATCTTGATGCCTGGGTTGGTATACATATTCCTCTGCCTGAAAAATTGCTCAAAACTTTTGAAAGGTTGTTTCTCACTGTTACACCCAGGCATTTCTGCTAACACCAGCTGAGTTGTAAGGGGCCCTCCAGGAGGTCTAGGTTGTTCTCCTTATCACATACATTATTTTCATTTATCAATTTACCTAGAACATCTAATGAAATATTATGGACACCAATAACATGAATACAAATATAGCTATAGACCCTAAAAAGTAAATTGATGTCTCTTGAAAGGCTGTCATGTCTTAGATGCTAAATTTGGAGTATGTGTTTCTAATAAATAAATAGCTTGCTTTAATAATTCTGATTTATGAATGTAACATAGGGGAGCAGCTTTTATTTCACCCTTAATCTTAAAAAACAATTAGCTGGGTGTGGTGGTGGGCACCTGTAGTCCCAGCTACTCAGGAGGCTGAAGCAGGAGAATGGTGTGCACCTGGGAGGCGGAGCTTGCCATAAGCCGAAATTGTGCCACTGCACTCCAGCCTGAGTGACAGTGTGAGACTCTGTCTCAAAAAAAAAAAAAAAGATCATACAAGGAGTAAATGATGATTTAGCATAAAACACAACTTTAGCCTAAAACACAGATCATAGGGCTCAAACTTTGTTATTTTATGGGATTATACTAACCAGTTAATATTCAAAATTTACCATTTCAAAAGAAGAAATATTGGTCTGGGAAAATTGCCATTGCTTATACAGAAGAATGGAGGAAGCTTTTTGAGAACAACAGTTCTAATGATCTTCCTCATCACTGGTTCAAAAACCAAGCCCATGGAAGGCCTGCATAGGGATAATGTGGAGAACATGCAAAAGAAATACACATCACCAGCTCCTCAACTCAGAGCTCCAAGGGAATGGCTAAGGAAGCTGTATTGTCCTAAGAAATTTGAGACTGTTTTGACTTACAATAAATCCTGCTCAATCATATGTATGTATACACACACACACACACACACACACACACACACACACACACAGACGGTGTTGTCAGCGAAGCCTCTAACAATGCATCTTGACTGGACAGATTTGACAATTAAAATGGCTGGAAGAAAATAGGCTTCATAAGTGGCACTTACTATTCACATTACACATTAAAAGGACATCTCCTAAATTAAATCTTGTCTATGATAAAAAGGCAGAAAATCATGACCCAAGGCTCATTTATAACGGCAGAAATGTTCAAGATAGACCAATGCTTGCTATGTTTAGGAACTGACAAGAAAGTACAGGTCTTTATAATCTACCATTTTGCCTCATTTGACACCAGGTGACCTTCATAATGCAGGCAATAGAGAATTGCAAGATTTGTCAGAGATTTCAGGTCTTTGGAAAGCTATGCTCTTTCACAAGAACAGCCATGGAAACAGGAAGAAAGTCAATTCCCACTTAAGGTAATCAGAATTTACAAATATTCCTTTCTTCATTGAAATCTCTATAGGCACTTCAATATTATATTTAATTAATTCTTTTGTTACAATCATGCATCACATAACAACATTTTGGTCAAGGATAGTGCACATGTATGACAGTGGTGCAATAAAATCATAACACTGTACTTTTACTGTACCTCTTGTATGTTTAGACATGTATAGATACACTTACTGTATAGATATAAGTAAGTATGGATATACTTAACTGTTGTGTTACAATTGCCTACAGTATTCAGTACAGTAACATGCTGCACAGGTTTGTAGCCTAGGAGGAATAGGCTATACCACCTAACCTAGGCATGTAATCAGCTATAGCATCTAGGTTTGTGTAAGTAAACTCTGTGATGTTCATACAATAATAAAATTGTCCAGCAATGCATTTCTCAGACACACCCCTGTCATTAAGTGACACATGACTGTATTAGTTAACACTATGGGAACTTCATGGGAAATGAACACTGCAGCTCCACCATAAATAGAAACTGTTTATGTCAAAAAACACATAAAAGCATAGTTGCAAGATTACAATTCCTTCCAGATATTTCATTTAGTATCTCCACAGATCACTCACTGCCTGAATAGCATTCTTGTGTCTCCACTGCCTCACATTTGATTTCAGGTCATTCCATCAATTGTCAAAGACGTATCCAACATTAACTTTCCAACTACTGGTTTGGATTCTGTCAACATTGTCATCCTGGGCCACAACAACACAAAAGGCTAACTCAGTGAGGTAACATAGACACTGATCAGTGAGATTTTGCTGATGGGTGGTACCATTTTTTACTAAGATCAAGGGTATTCATACCTTCAGGCATCTAGATAACATTGAAAAGGGCAGGTTCATAGATAAAAAGGGAAAGAGGAAGGGTTTTTGCAGTATACGTGAGCTACCGTGTCTCCTGTTTAACCTGAGTCTGAAGAGATTCAAAGTGCAGGTGCCATGAATGCCTCTTTAATAGTTCAATGTCGATTGATTTTCTGGGCTACATTTCCCAGCATTCAAATTGCTAAATGCATATAAACTACTACTGAATATTTATTACCTGGATTTGTGCTTTTGAGTGACCTTATCTATAGTTATGTGCTTCAGTGAACCAACTTGGGGTGGACTCTAAACTTTGATAAATTAAAGACCCTGCTTATTCCTTGAGTAATGCTACACTGACAACTGATTTAGTGAATGCCACTGTGAAAATAATAAACTTCTTGGTGAATATATTTAGACATGTCTTGTAACCTGTACACATCTTAACCAGGGATGTTACTTGGTCTTTCTATGTTCAGGAGTGTGTGGAGATAGAAAAACATACAGGATTGTAATTGTTTCCTGTGAGACTAACAGAAAATTCAAGCTAGTGAAGTATGTTTATGCATGGCACACTTCTCACCAGCAATTTTAGGAAGTTCTACCCACAACCCATATGTCTTTTGATATGTGTGTTACCTTGGAGAGAGAAAAAGAAACTCTGAACACAAGCATGAAATACTTTAGAATTTTATCTAGAGTTGGACTTGTCCGAAAGCTTTTGTATAAACTTGCTTGATGAGCAACTGTTGTCCACTGGTACCTTCACTGTACAATCCACACACAACCAAACTTCACAACTGGACACCTAAATTTGCACTTTGTTTGGTAAAGTTGAATGAAAAATGTTGTCTTTTAAGCTTATGCACTCTTATGAAAGCTGTTATTAGATGAATTTTACTCCAAGATATGCCAGTTAAGAAATAACTTCCAATTTAATTTCACCAGCTCCCTGTGGGTGGACTAATTAGTCATACATCACACTTACTCTGGTGGTGAAATGCCTCAAAAGAAGGTCTCCAGAGTGTTGCTCTACCTAGAAGGACAAGAATGAAGAGACATAAAAATCATTCATTAAGAAGGAAGATTTTCCTTGCCTAGATTTTCACTTGTAGGATCCAATTAATTTTATCACTTAATATTTTTTTCTGGTGGGCATTCATTTTACAAATTTGTAAGGTCAGTAGAAATGGAAACTTTTGGAAATCGAACTGTAAATGTTCTGTAGACATTGACAGAAATAGCTATTTGGAGTTGTGCTTTTGCCAACTAGACACTCTGAGAAAATCTGTGAGAGGATATTTTCAGGAAGTCATTGAACCCCCTAAAAATCAAGTTTATTGCTTTTACCATAGATATAAATAATTAATTTATTATCAACCACTTTCAATATTCCAATAAGTAACCTTTATTGTTTATTTCATTGACATGATCTACATAGACACACAATTTATCTTCTTTTGCGATACATTCAGAAAATTTGCTGCCTGGAAAAGCCATGTTTTAAAATTACCACCTGTTTGATGACTTGTTTTTGTACTTTAAGTTTTAGGGCATATGTGCACAACCTGCAGTTTAGTTACATATGTATACATGTGCCATGTTGGTGTGCTGCACCCATTAACTCGTCATTTAGCATTAGGTATATGTCTTAATGCTATCCCTCCCCCCTCCCCCACCCCACAACAGGCCCTGGTGTGTGATGTTCCCCTTCCTGTGTCCATGTGTTCTCACTGTTCAATTCCCACCTATGAGTGAGAACATGCAGTGTTTCGTTTCCACTTAAGTATCTATCTCTATTTGTCCTTTATTTTCATTTCCATCCTAGCTCTATCCCTTGTCTCCTTCGTGTGTCTCAGGATAAGTGCCCTATAACATTTTATATTTCTGGAAACCCTTCAATATAAAGTTATTACATGTAAAAATAAAAAGTCTGTTTTAGCGAACTTTTTCTTCACAAATTATATTTTCCTACTTCCCTATTAGACAATTTTTGTAGGCTCCATATGCTATTAATTTACATTCACTTTTAGAAGAATTTTCATCAAAAGCAAAAGTATTAGGTAAATTGATTGTATGCTATTTATACTTCTATGTATATATACACACATAGCCACATACATATATGTAACTCCAGAGGCCTGCCTGGACTGTTTAATAACTGTATTGAACAACAGCAAGAAAAAGCTATTCAAATTTCAAACAACAAGTTGAACTGAAGACCTCACATCTTTGAATTAAATAGACACTAGTAGCCTTTAAAAATTAAACATTTCTACTGTTTTAAAAAATTATAGCCATCATAGTATGAGGAAAAAATGTAATAATCTTTTTTAATTCTTGCCATTTTATTAACCATGGACTCCTTATGCCCTAACTTCATTGGTACCCCTTTGAGATTAAACAGAACACTTAATTTAAAAATCTGATAAATAATTTAATTACACCATTTACTTGAGGTACTCTTTCACCTTTCAAGAAATATTTTGAGAATTCATTAGCTAAATATTGCTATAATGCAGGCTAGTAATAAATGGAAAGAATGAATTCATTGTAAAGTTTAAACTAATGATGGTATGATCTGGAATTTTTGTTAACTTAGAAGTCATAATTAGCTTTAGAGGTGAAATGAAAGACAAAATCACTTCACATATTAGTAAAAAACAAATAATATAACTTTATAAGCTACTGCTGTTCTTTTGCTATTAAGAACCAATGACATCTGTAATTAGGGAAGATTATGGAAAGGTTAAAGATGAGAATACATGCAGTCTATCTACAGGAAACCTAAACTGTTTAGGTTAAGGAAATGTCTGAGAAAGTCATATTAATTAGCAGGTTCACAGGAAACTAACATTTATTGTATAAATTCCATGGTAAAATGTATTAGGGCTCCACGCACACAACTATGTGCCATCTACGTTACCACACAGTGCTTACTTCTTTCAGTCTTTATTCATTTCTCTCCTAATGGTCTGTATGGTATTATTACATAGTTCTAAAAACCTTCCATGAGGCAGAAATTTCATTTAATCATATAGCTTCAAAAATAATGAAAAACAGTAGAAACTTTCTATTTTTTTATGAAGCAGAATTGTTGAATTTTCAGTTTCATTTATTTAATATTACAAGATGACAAACATATTTCTTTAATTCCCTCTTGTTATTTTTGTCTAACATCAACCAAAGCCATTTCTTTCATTTGAAGGTGAAAACTGCTCATCAAAATCCAGTTTAAGCTGAGAAACAAAGAACTAAATTTTGCATGAGAGATTATACACTGCGTAAGTATAAAACAGGACCAGAAACAATGGTGGATTAGCAATTTTTAAAAAGACAAAAGCAGGTTATCATCAAATCAATTGTTACCAACACACCAATTCCACCTCTAGGCCAGAAAATTAGCCACTTACCCACGGGAAAACAATGATTGAAGACAAAGTTCACCAGTGAAAGTTGGTTATTTTTTTCCATCCTTGCATCAACTAAAATGATATCTACAGTTCCTCTTAACACTTTTCTGAGTTTCAAATATGTGGGTATGCTTCATTAGCTGAGGTCATTTTCCATATGTACATCTGGCTACAAGGGAAACTGGGAATGTGAGCCCTGATCCTAATGTTCGTAGAGTATTTAGAAATTTGAGAATTCCCTCCAAATAAAGAGTTTTTTTAAAACATTGTTAGACAAAAAGTTTGAATTACAAAATGCGGTAGTAGCTCAGGTCTAACTCAAATGCAGGGAAAAAAATTGTTAACTCTAAAAAAAATTAAATACATATTTGATGGTAACGAGAAACAGAAAACAGGCAGAAATAGTAGAATATTCAACCACTGATGAAGTATTTGACCATTGAATAAAGAAAATTGCAATGATTTAAATTTGCATCAATGCAACTTCACACCTGATGACGCTTCCCAGTCTGTGCAAAATTAGATGTCTACGAGTAAAGCGGTGAGTTTTACTAGCTTGAGGAATAAGAGCACAGAGTTCCAGGTTGACAGAAAAGAAGAATTGGGAAATTTGAATGACATGGGAGGAAATCTCACACAACTGAAAGTCACAGAGGAGAATGTCACAGAGTAAAAATCTAAAATCAGCACTTAAACTTCATTCAGATATATGATGGCTGCTACATTTCACATTGATAAAAAGAGACTCCATAGAATCCAGCAGAAAACAACAGCTAAATTGCTAGTACAGAGCAGAGATTTCAACCATTGCATATAGCTCAGGAGTGAAAGTTTGGTGTTTGACTACAGAAAGAAGACTAATGTTAGAAATGATTCACTCTTCAAAGGAAAATAGAAGAACCTATCTCTACAAAATATCATACACATAATCTAACATATAATTTAACCTGCCTAGACATAAAACCAGGAAAATATGACGCATAACAAAAAAAGTAAACAATGGATTAAGACAGTGAAATGGCCCACATGCTGGGATTAGAAGATAAGAAATTTAAAATAAGCTATTACAAGCATATTCAAGGATTTAAGGAATAGATGGTCATAAGAGGGAATATATGGAGAATCTCAACAGAGAAGTAAAAACGATAAAGAGATAATAGGACAAATTTTAGAACTGAGAGACAGAATATCTTATATAAAAATGTCATTGTATGCACATACCAGTAAATTAAAGATGGCAGAAAAAACTATCAGTGCACTTAAAAACAGATCAAGAACAATTTCCCAATACAGTTAATAAAAAGGAAGAAAAATAATAAAAATAGGGCCAGTCTAGCACTAATATAATTGGAGTCCTAGAACGAGTAGAGAAGAAAATGAGACAGAAAAAGCTATTTGAAAAAGTAAAGACCAAAAGTTTTCCTAATTGTCAGCATATATCAATTTACAGGTTTAAGAAACTCAAAGGACAGAATAAAAATAAAGAGAACCAAATGTAGACATACCATAGTCAAACCACTGGGCAAAAAAAGAGTAAATCTTGAAAGTAGCTAAAGGGAGGGAGAAAATAATTTACATACGTGGAAACAAATAGACAGATGACCTGTCATCAGAAATGACATTTTAAAAAGCAATGAAACTACATCTTCAAAATAAAAGAAAACTGTCAGCTCCAAATTCTATCACTAGAAACAGTAATTCTTGAGAAAAGAAAGATTTAGTCAGATAAAAGAAAGCTTCGAACAATTGTCATTAGCAGACCTAGATACAAGAAATGCAAACGGAAATTTTTTAGGCTAAAGATAACAACAGATGGAAATTCTGACCTACAGGAAGCAAGGAGAAGCTCTAGGAATGGCATGTGCATAAACATGAAAAACTAAGGCTTTTTTCTTTTAGTTTTATAACAAACAACTGATGGTTTCAATAAAAAATTAAGTGTACTATTGATAATGTATGTAAAATATTCTAAATTAATAGCTCTGACAGGAGACTAAACGCAACAATTTTGCCGCAACTTTTCTTTATGTTACATGAAAACGCTGACTATTAACACTAAGTGGACTGCGATAAGCCCAGGATGTTTATTATAATCCCTAGAGAACCACCACATTATATGAAGATATTCTTCTAAAATGCCAATAAAGGAATTAAAATGGAACCCTGAATATTGTTCAGTTAATATAAAAAGGCATGAAAGAAAGAACAGAGGAGCAAAAAATGATGGAACAAATAGAACATAAGAGCAAAATAGGCTGGGTACAGTGGCTCAGCCTGTAATCCCAGCACTTTGGGAGGCCGAGGCGGGTGGATCACGAGGTCAGGAGATCGAGACTATCCTGGCTAACACGGTGAAACCCCGTCTCTACTAAAAATACAAAAATTAGCCGGGCATGGCGGCGGGAGCCTGTAGTACCAGCTACTCCAGATGCTGAGGCAGGATAATGGCGTGAACCCGGGAGGCGGAGCTTGCAGTGAGCCGAGATCCCGCCACTGCACTCCAGCCTGGGTGACAGGACCAGACTCCGTCTCAAAAAAAGAAAAAAAAAAAAAAAAGAAAAGCAAAAATAGTAGGCTTAAATCCAAACTTTTCAATAATTATTTCAAATGTAATTTAAATACTCCAAATAAAACACAGATTGTCCAACTGGCTAATAAAAGTACCTATAAGAGATGCATGCCAAATATTATGGTATAGATAATTTGAGAGTAAAATAATTTCCAAGTATACCAAGGAAACAACAAGCAAAATAAACCTTATGTGGCTATATTAATATAAGAAAAAGTAGACCTCCAAACAAGCAATATTACAACAGACAGCTATTTCATAATGATAAAATGTCAAGTAATTATGAAGACATAATGCTGTATTGCTGACAGAATAACTAAAGAAAATTAAGATAAAATAATTTTGACAACAGCTTGACATAATCGATATTGACCAAGACAATAGAATATATGTTCTATTATGCTACACATGAAACATTTATCAATAGGCTATAGACCACAAAATATCTCTCAAGAAGTTTCAAAACACTGTAATCATAGAAAGTATGCTTTCTGACCATAATGAAAATGAGTTGAAATGGGTAAAAACAAGCTACCCAGGAAAGTCTACACTATTGGAAGATTTAAATACATCTTAAAATGCCCTTTAGCGCAAGGAAGAAATCATAAGAAACACCTTTAAATACATTGAACTGAATACAAATAAAAATATACTATATCAAAATGTATGGGATAAAGTTAAGCAGACCCAGAGTAAATTTTTTGTATAAATGCTTATTCTGAAAAAGAGAAGTTCAAAACAAGTGAACTAATTTTCTACCTTAAAAAGAAAATCTAAAACAAGAGAGCAAATCAAGTCCAAAACAAGTAGAAGAAAAGAAATAAAACAGAAATTAGAAATCAATGAGACAGAAAACAGAAACAGGAGAAAATCATCATGGCCAAAAGTTAGTTCTGTGAGAAAGAAAGAAAACACAAATTATAAATATCAGGGATTAATGAGATTGTACAGTTGTAGACACAAGAGACTTTAACAAGATAATGGAATATTGTGAAACATTTTATACTAATTTTCATTACTTGGATGAAAGGGTGAATTCCTTGAAAAAAGTTATAAAAAAATTCGCAAGATTAAATGGAACATATGAAGTAATTGACATTTATTAAAGTAATTAAATTAATTCTCAAATACCTGCACATAAAAACATAAAACTAAAGAAATAAAAAATAAGCAAACTCCAGATCCAAAGAGTTTTGCTGATGAATTCTTTCAAACGTTTAAAAAAAATAAAATTTTTAAATTATTTCAGAAATAAAGAAGGGGGAAATTCCAAACTTGTTTTATGAGTCAGAATCCTGATAGCAAAACTACAAAACCCAGGAATGCAACATTGATTTCAACTTAAAGAGCTATCACCATTCTAATCTGTGATTCTAATGAATTTGGCTATCTTAGATACCTTATACAAGTGGAATCATACAGTTTGTCCTTCTGTGACTGATTTACTTTACTTAGCATTAATGTCCTCTACGTTCATCCATGTTGCATATTGCCGGGCTTTCTTGTTTTAAAGCTGAATAATATTCCGTTGTATGAATATACCACATTTTCTTTATCTATTCATCTGCCAATAGACATTAACCTCATTTCCACATTTTGATTAGTGTAAATAATGCTGCAATGAGCCTGAGAATCATCCCAATCTCAATTCTTTCAGATAAATAACCTGAAGTGGATTGCTAGATCATATGGTAGTTCTAGTTTCTTAATTTTTTTGAGGAACCACGGTACTGTTTTCCATAGAGGCTGCACAGTTT
>NT_187364.1:0-66860 GCF_000001405.40 Homo sapiens | reverse complement strand
GAATTCGTGGCTGAGAGTTTTTTTTCCTTTGCATCTTTTGAATATATTATTCTACTGCCTCTTGCTTCCATTGTTTCTCTTAAGTCAGCTGTTAATCTTACAAAACATAGGTGCTCAAAAAATAAACACGTGCATGAATATTTACAGCAGTAATATTCATACAGTCAAAAAGTGGAAACAATCCATATGCTTGTTGACTCATAAATGGACACCCAATTTTCAGCAATAACAAAGAATGAAGTACTTATATATGGTATAATATTGGTGAAATTTGAAAGCATTCTGTTAAGTGCACAAAAGGACAAATATTACTTGATTTTATTCACATGAAACATCAGGAATTGGCAAATCAATTGGGATATAAATCAGATTAGTGGTCATTAGGGCTCAGGGAAGCAGATTAGGGTGTAACAACTTTATGCATAATGGGTTTTTGGAAGGGACATGATGAAATTGCCCTGGAACATTGTGAATATAGTAAAAGCAAGTGCATTGTATGCTTTAAAATGGTGGTTATTAATTTTATATTATGTGATTTTTACCTTAAAAAACAAAAAAGAGAAAATAGTCTTACTCTATACATAATAAAGTCAAGATATGTTACAAATTTACATGTGAGATCCAAAATACTATAATATTTAAGGAATAGCTAAGTAGAATAACACTGAAATTTAACATAATGAAACATTTCCTTAGAAAAGAAAAAAGCACGGTGTAATTTAAAAGGGAAATATATTTAATATTTTTTCACACCATTAAGCATGCCATTAACTGAGTAAAAAATCAAGCTGCAATTATGTAAACTACATTTTCTAAAACCATAAAGAAAAGAAGAAATAAAAAGGTATTTGGGAAAAAAATCCAAAAGTACAGTCAACTACACAAAAAAAGCTTAGTCTCATTAATCATTAAGAAAATGCAAATGGTAACTGAAAGAAGATAAAACTACAATTCAAAGAGAAAGCCTAAAACTTCCACCCCCAAAAAGTCTGGGTTTTGGACATCTGGGATGGAATAGGGTTCCAAACCTGACAACAATGAAAGACCCAAACTAACTTCAAAGTCATGACTTTATTTTTATAGCAACGAGGTTGCCAAGAAGTGAGTCAAAATGTGAGGGAAAACAAGCACCTGCAAGGAGAAAGAGGACGGATGCACTTACATAGGACAGATGCAAATAGGCACCACGATGACAAGTAAAGCTGGAATAATCAATAAATTCCTAGAGACAAAGTGGGGCTGGTGAGATTGGGAGACCGCTGACAGCTGCAGAGGTTGGGAAAGATCCATCATCTTGAAAACTTTTTCCCCACAAACCCACTGCGATCTCTCAAGCAATTGATAAGGAGTCCAAGAGAGTCTGTATATGACACAGATCAGGGAGAGCAGAACACTTGGGAGGTGACCAGGTCTTGGGGGCCGAGCCCTTATGAATGGGATTAGTGCCTTTATAAAAGAGGCTCAATGGAGTTCTTGTGTGCCTTCCACTATGTGAGGACATAGAAAGCAGGCACCACCTATGAACCATGAAATGGGCTCTCATCAACACTGAATTTGTGAGCATCTTGACCTGAGATCTTACAGCCTCAAGAAGTGTGAAAAAAGAAATATCTGTTGTTTTTTAGTCACCCGGTCTGTTATTTTGTCATAAGAGTCCAAATAGAGCAAGATATTCCACTTAATATGTAGGGGAAGGCAACAAAAACTGCCACACTTAGAATACTCCTGATGCTGGGAGTATGAAAGGAGGAAAAACAAAACAAAACTGCTCTTGAAGGTGACGGAGGAATATCACTGAGCTCACCAACACAGCCAGGAAAAGAACAGAAGTGTGAGAAGGCTACATTCCTGAGACCCTGAGAAAAAGTACCTGCATAAGACTGAGATGAAATTACCTACTCTAGTTATGATTGAAATCTCAAAAAGAAAAGAGGGAAAAATAATGGAGCAAAAGAAATATTTTTCAAAATAACTGCCAAAAATATTCTAAAAGAAGTGACAGGAAATCAAACTTCAAATATAGGAAACTCAGAGAATGTCAATTAGAACAAAAAGAAATAAGAATTACATCTTGAAAAATCGTTAAAAAGTCAATTCCAAATTTTATATCTTGCTCCAAATATATAGAGATATAAAGAGAATGGAGATATCAAGATATGGAGATATCAAGATATGGAGAAAGCCATATCATGGAAACACTAAAATAAGGCTGTGGAAGGACTACATTGATATTAGACTCAACAGAGTTCGGAACAAGAAATAGTATCAGAGATGAGAGATAGCAGATAATAGAATCATCAATTCTCAAGAAGATGTAAACATCCTACTAATTAGGGTATGCAGCTAACAACAGAACCTCCAAATACATGAGGTAAAACAGGAAAGAAATCAAAGGTGAACTGGAAAAATCCAAAATTATATTTGCCGACATCAACACTTTTGTCTTAGAAATGGAAAGACTAGGCACTAACTCAGTAATCATATGGAAGATAAGAACAACAATATCACCAACAAGACATCCAATCTTCAATGGCAGATACTCTTTCCTTTCAAGTGAAAAAAAAAACAGTATGGCATATTCTCTAACAAACCCAGAATTTCTAATATTTGCGTTCTTCCTTCTTTCTTTCCATCTTCCTTTCTCTTCCCTTCCCTTGCCTTCTTCCTTTCTTTTCCTCTTCCTTTTTTCTTTTTTCTTTACCTTTCTTTCTTTTCTTTCTTTTTTCTCCTTCCTTCCTTCTTTCCTTCTTTCTTTCCTCTTATTCTTCCTTCCCTCCTCCCTCCCTTCCTTTCTCCCTCACGTTTCTCCCTTCTTTTCTCATATTCTTTCTTTCTTTCCTTTTTTCTCCCGCCCTCCCCCCTCCTTTTCTTCCTTCCTCCCTCCCTTCCTTTCCTCTTTTTCCTTCCTTCCATCGCCTCTTTATTTTCTTTGATTCTGTTCCTTCCTCCCTTTTACCATTCTCTCTTCCTCCTTTCCTTCCTCCCTTCTTTCTTTCTCTCTTTCTCTCTTTCTTTCTTTCTTTCTCTCTTTCTTTCCTTCTTTCTTTCTTGTGTTCATGCTTTCTTTTCTCTCCCTTCCTGCCTTTCTCCCTTCCTCCCTCCTCCCCTTCCTTCCCTCATTTCCTCCTTCTTTTCTTTCTTCTTTCTTTATTTCCTTCCTTCCTTCTTTCCTTCCTTCTTTTTCTTTCTTTGTTTTCTTTTCTTTCTCTTTACTACAATTAATATTATTTTAAAAAAATTAAGAGAGAGAGACAGAAAAATAAGGAATGCTTTAATCTGCAGGTAAACAGATCATGTCTGCTGTAGGCCAAAGAATGGCCTCCCAAAAATTTTCATGTCCTAATTCCCAGAGTCTAACATACAAATATGTTAGGTTGCACGGCAATGTGAAATTAGATTTCAAGTGAAATTAATGTTGCGGAAAAATGATAGAGAGATTGTCTTAAATGGGTGGGATCAATGAAATCACAAACTTCCTTATAAGTGAAAGAAGAAGGCAGAAGAAAGGCAACCTTGGAGGTGGTGGCATGAGAAATTACTCAACATCACTGACTTTTAAGATACAAGAATGAGGACCCAGCGCGGTGGCTCACGCCTAATCCCAGCACTTTGGGAGGCTGGGGTGGGTTTATCACGAAGTCAGGAGATCGAGACCATCCTGGCTAACATGGTGAAACCCCATCCCTACTAAAAATACAAAAAAATTAACTGGGCGTTTTGGCAAGTGCCTGTAGTCCAAGCTACTCAGGAAGCTGAGGCAGAAGAATCACTTGAACACGGGAGGCAGAGGTTGCAGTGAGCTGAGATCGTGCCACTGCACTCCAGCCTGGGGGACAGAAGGAGACTCCATCTCAAAAAAAAAAAAAAAAAAAGGAAAAAGAAAATTAGGATCTAAGAATGACGTCATGTTCCAAGGAATAAAGGTGGCCTCTGGATGCTGAAAAAAATCAAGTAATAGATTCTGCCAAGTAGCCCTCAGAAAGACTGCAGCCCTGCCCAAAACTTCATGTTAGCCCTGTGAGTTTCATTTAAGGCTTCTGTACTACAGAACTGTTGGATTAACGGTCACTTTATTGTAAGATATGAAGTTTATGGTAATTGGTTACAGCAGCAAGAGGAAGTTTATATTGTAATTGTATCATGAAAATGAGAGCCATAATTTACAACTGCTTTTAATACTGCACTTGGATGTTTGAAAGCACGTACATGGAAATGATCTCTATGTGCATGAGGGAGGATAGCAAATTGATGCCAAAATAATGCAAATGCAAATCTTACACTCATTTCTATGTAGGTTTCATTTAATCTTTGAAATTAAAATGAAATTAAAAGATTGTGATCTTTTGATGAAATTAGACTAAAATGAACAATAACAAAATAAGAACTTACTTATATTCTTTATATGGTCAGTAAAGAAGTGATAGTGGAAAAAAAGAAGATCAAATGAAGGTGATGATGTAGGAAGTTGGAAAGATAGCTGAAACTACAAAATGGTATATAACCAGTGAACCCTTAGACACACTGATTGATGAACTTCAGCTTTTGGCTTGGTGAGAGCATAAAATGAGAGCAGCTGAGGTTTGCCAATTTGTAATCTCCTTGTGGAAAAACAGGGGAAAACACATCTCAGCCTAATAAGATTTATCTACTAAAGAGTCTAGACTTGATCCATTTGTCCTTGTAATTCAAAAGCTAATTCAAATACTGATTTGATGTATTGTGTGAACAACCATTGCTGATTATCATCGCATACCTGGCATTCTCTTGTATCTGATATCTAAAATATTTGGTAATTCCTGGACTTCCTATTTTCAAACCCAGGACGGTTTAATTTGAGTCTTAGCACATTTGTCTTTGAGAAATTCTTCCCTCTATTGCATCTGTGAATGGGCATAGCATGGTTACATACATACTTTCACTCCATAGAACATTTGTTAAATTAAAGCCAAAGTTTAAAGCAAGAGCTTTAACTTACTGGTTTTACTAATGGTTTCCTCCCCAATAGCCACAACAATATTGATACCCTCACACCTTTTAACATAAAGCTTGGTGTTGTCTATTTTTCAGGTGCTGTCATCTATATGATCTCAGTATTTTAAAAATCAGCTTCCATCCCGTATGGTGGTTCATTCCTGTAATACCAGCAGTTGAAGAGGCTGAAATGAGAGGATTCCTTGAGCCCAGGAGTTCACAAGCAACCTGGGCAACATAGCAAGACCCAGTCTCTATCAAAAGTTAAAAAAAAAAAAAGTGGGCATGGTGATGTGCACCTGTTGTCCTAGCTATTTGGGAGGCCAAGGTGGAAGGATTGCTTGAGCTTAGGAGGCTGAGGCTACAGTGAGCAGTGATTGCACCACTGCACTCCAGCCTGGACAACAAAGCAAGACCCTATCTCAAAAAATATATATACTAAAAATGAAAATCAGCTCTCATTGATTTCTATGTAAATATGCACAGGTGATGTCCATATAGACATAAATAAAAATATTTCTGACAATGGGTCCATATGATCTTCAAAATGTAAAATGCCTGTCTGTGTAATTGACTGGTTAGTCTCATTAATGAATACAGATTCAATTCTACTTTCTTGTTCTAGATAAATTATATAATCTAGCTTTCATTTCACATATTTACTGATAACAACAGGAAGAATGACAAGATATCTATTTTGGAAAATTACTCTGGTAGGAGTAGATGAAACAATGATAGAATTGAACGGAAAACTAGAAAAAAGTATGGCCTTCTGATATTCTATCACATCACATACTAAAGGCCTCATAAAACTCAGATATTTTATCTAAAAATGTTATTTTCATCATAGGAATGATCAAAGCATGAGACCGCAGTTGTATTAAAATGTGCTTGTATCACAAGCACAGGTGCTGAAAAGGAGGGGAAACATCCTTACTGATATTTTCAACGTATGTTTTACTTTTCATCAACATGAACCTCAGCTTGATATGATGCAGATTGAAGGAAATCACCCATAATTCCATAGGAAGAAGGCCTGTGATATTTTATGGGAAAATAAATAGAGAAAATGCTAATAGAAACTCTGTTAAGCATGAAGCTTTGTGGAGCAAACACAAATCCAGTGGTGAAAGATACACACTCGAGATCTGTTTGTTGTCTTGGAACAATACGGTTTAGAGGTGACTGGCGGGTGACGAGAACATATGCGAGTTCACCTAAGAGAAAAGCTGAATGAGGCAATGCCTCTTCCTGACCATATCTCTTACTCAGATAACTATAGAATTTATTGTCCAGTAAAGGGTATATTAAAAAATCATATTAAAAGTCATACAGTGAAGTTGTCCAGGGAAATCAAGACTTAACAGTCTCACTCTGACAATAATGAACAGGGGGATTCCCTCAAGATAGACTAGGACATGACCCCACACTGGCAGGTAGTAGTACCAGAAAAGAACGCATGGAAAATCTTTACCTTATGCTTGAGGTAGGGACCAGGCTAAAGTGAAGGCCAGACCTAAAATTCTATCTAAAATAAATCCACAATCGAAGAAAATATGTGGTGTACAGGTATAGAATGTCTTTACTGGATCATTGAAATAGTAAGATAAATTCAACTTTTTACATTGTTTTCTTTTCCTCCAGTTAGGGCTTGAGCTTCGTCTCTGGAGAGTGACTGTCAATTGGAGCCCTGCCTTTCTGGGTTTCTGGCCAGGGGGTTGTGGATGCTTAACATGTGCCTTTCACAGGACACTTCCTTACCCCAGCAGTGGCCAGGTGTGCATCCCACGACCAGGCCTCCCTCTCACGGAACATCTGTTGAGACTAGGAGATGCCTGGTGACTGTTGCCTGACCTGTGTCCTGTGTATTTCTGACAAGAGCCACTCTCAGAGACCCTGGCCAGGAGGAGAGTTAGGTTCCAGTGTAGGTCAGCTCAGACACATGGAGGCCACAGAAGCAAACATGGGAAATCACAGAAGTAGGTTTATTACTCACAGATCCAGAGAGAAGAGGGTAGCTGAGAAGAGGGTTTAGCTGTGTCCCCAGCCAAATCTCATCTTGAATTCCCACATATTGTGGGAGGGAACAGGTGGGAGGTAATTGAATCATGGGGGCAGGTCTTTGCCATGCTGTTCTTCTGATAGTGAATAAGTCTCACAAGATCTGATGGTTTTATAAAGGGGAGTTTCCCTGCACAAGCTCTCTTGTCTTGTCTGCTGCCATGTGAGACGTGCCTTTCAGCTTGCGCCATGATTGTGAGACCTACCCAGCCATGTGGAATTGTGCATCTATTAAACCTCTTTCTTCTGGAAATTACCCAGTCTTGGGCATGTCTTTACCGGCGGTGTGAAAATGGACTACTACAGTAGCACACCTCATGGGGCTGAACAAAATAGGGAAGATGAGTGGGGAGCAGGAGAGAGAAAAGGGGTCTGTGGGACTCCAGCCTTTATTGGGCCCAGAACATTACCCAAATAAGTTCTCCACGGGGCACTAGTCGGTGGGGTGAGTTCCAGCAGGCATATTTCTTGACTCCCGCTGCAACCGAGCAGGTCACTCTGGCGTGTGGGGGCTGTCCATGTGCGCTGTGAGGTCTGTGGGGTGAGTCACGTAGGTTGTATCCAACGGTTCCATAGCTGGCAGTCACTAGGAGGAGACAACTGTGTAGGGTCAATATCTGGGCCAACCACACTGAGGAACTGTGAGGGTTAGAACTGGAAATTGTCAAGGGAATCCGAACCCATCTACCATATGAGAGAGTTCAACTTATGTTCAATGTGAATGCCATGGCAATATTAAAAGTTAAGAATTCGATCCATACGTCCTTGAGGTAAAGAGGAGAAACCTAGAATTTATGTAAACAGTGAGAAGATTGGATGCGTTTTCCATCTCATATTTTAATACTAGCAGTATATTATATATCTCAATCCATCAGGCATTCAGAAATACATGCTTATGTAAAATTTTTGCACCATCAGACAAAAGACAAGGGTAGAAGACATTTGTAACCCTATAAACACTAGTAAATTAAAAACAGAAGGACCTTTATGTCCTAACATATCTGTGTTGTGAAAGGCTGCCCTGTGAAATACGGGATTTCTTAAACATATTTTAAAAATTATAGGTGTCAATATTTTTTAGAAATCCATTTAAATTTTCTCTTGCTATTTTACAATGCCTATTTATTTATTTAGTGGCTCTGCTGATTTTGATGTATATCCTAAACTTTACATTTTCTTTAAAGGATTTTTTATACAACTTGATGTAAAATGTTTCAGTTTCTTCACGTTCTCTCCCTGTCCTTTTGTTTTGCTCTTATATGGTGGTCTTGAGTCTTTTCTCTGGCTTTTCAAGCCTAGTAAGACTAAGACACTAAAGGAACTTTGCCCTTGGTTTGGTAATGCCTTCCAAAGCACATCCTAAGCTTTCGTGCATACAGGGGTCTCCTTTGAGCTCTGTGCTTTTGAGATCCCATATACCTAAATTCCAGTACTCCAAATCAGTACTGCTCAGTTTTACTGACTAAGTTTAAAAATGTATTTTAATAGCAAGTTAGTTTAGTGCACCCTTGCTTCTTTCTTGACTGATTGTATACATGTATATTCCTTTAAACGTATCTTGGAATTTATTTAAAAACTTTAAAT
Organism: Homo sapiens; assembly: GCF_000001405.40. NCBI lineage: Eukaryota > Metazoa > Chordata > Mammalia > Primates > Hominidae > Homo > Homo sapiens. The sequence continues at coordinate 58,244 of NT_187364.1, read as the reverse complement.
TATACTAATGAAACTGTATATTGTTGTGAATTCATAAGTGAAATTTAGAAGAATTTGTCTTTAGGATACTAAGTCCTTTTTATCCAAGAATCATATATGTCCTTGTATTTATTCCAGTCTATATCACTGAGTAAATATATAGAAATGTGGATACATACAGCTGTAGTTATAGATACAAATATAGATATAACATGCTAAATCTATATCTATCCCATATAACATATATACATGTTATATGTGTGTGTGTATATATATATATGTTTATGTTATTAAAGAGCTCCCTTAAAATTTTTCTTTTATTTCCCATATAATTTTAGGTCGAGCTTGAATTTTCCTTGTATAAACAAGCAAATATTTATACTAGTTTTAATACTGATGTTTAGACATTGTATCTTATTTTAGCATTGTACATTTTCACAATTATTATAAATATTATCTAATATTAATAATGTACCTGTTAAAATATTTAAAATTTTACCTTTGAATTATTTTATTATTGAATTAAAATTCCTTTAATATGATAGTCAATTTCTATTTTATGCTTTCTCTATGCATATACAAATTAATTGATCCACTTCTCTATCTCTATGTAGTAACATATGAAAATCAGGCCTCTCTTCTTCTAATGGACATACACATGTTTTCATACAGAATATCAGACCCTTTATAGCATTTAAAATCTTTAAAGACATGAATATTGCCTTTTAACGAATATATTTTAGCATATACTGTGAATCCCCTATTTATTTTTCATTTGGGCTAATTAGTATGATTATTAATATTATTGGATTAACAAATTTGGAAACACATTTTCATCCCCAAGGTGGATATTTGTTTTTTTTTTTTTTTTGTCAATTTCTTGTCTTACTGTTTCAAATATCGTTGGATATTATTTTTATTTTATTTGGCATTTTAGTATCAACATTTGTAATTGAGGTACTCTACATAATTTTTCTTCAATATCTGGTGGGTTTTATAATTACTACTATATTGGATTTGTAGTAGACATTGACAAAAATTATTCCTGTATGTTTTATAGCTGTATGAGGGAAACTAATATATTTTACCCCTAAATATATTTCCTTGATATATATCAAAATGGCTATTGAGAAGGGCTGGAAATGCAAAGTTAGCTGCAAAGCTGTCTTGGGGAGGAGATTTGCATCGGTAGAGAATCTGCCTTGATGCAGCCAGGCTTTCTCTGAGGTCTGCACCCTTGTCTGGATCTAGGGAAGTTTAACTGAGAGTCTGAGGTCTCCAAAGCTCTGAAAGAAACATTTTCTGTCTATTCTCTCTGAGGACTGCTCCCAGTGAGGTTCCACCTAGGTAATAAGTCCACTGTTGCTCACCAGGGTCATTTTCTCACATAACCTTTCCTTTTTTTTCCCTGTGATCCAAGACCCCATTCTTTTTGTAAACTTCATGTGGTAGATAATCTTCTGCACGCATCGTGTGTCCGGGTCTTCGTTCTAAGGGTTCCAGTGTGCACACATTGCAGAAACCTGTATGCCTTTTCTACTATTTATCTGCCTCCTATTAGTGATTTTCAGGGAAACTTCAGAAGGCAAAAGGGACATTCTCCTTTAGCCCATTCTCAGACAAAATCTCCCAACATTTAACTGATTCCTAATAGCTTAAAATCACTTTGAAAAATCCATATATTTATAACCTTTTCTTCCCTCTATGATTTCTGGTCAGCTTGGGTTTTGTTTTTCATTCCATTTACTTCATCCTCGAAAAGATCTATTTTACGTCTATTTATTCTCATTTATGGACATTGAGAAAAGAAAATAACTTTCATGTGAGAAATGCAAGTCCTTTGAAATAATCAGGCCCAGAGAGATATTCAAATGACACAGCAGTTCTGTCCTGCTCCTCTTTGTGCTGTGTGTTCATCTAGGCTGCTTGCTGTTGCCACGGTAGCTATAAATTAACCAATAACGCCACACCAGCCACTATAATCCACACCCGATAATAGTGTAACAGTGTATAGCCAGTCACTAATAAATGTTATTTCCATAAGCCAATGAGAATTTGTGACAAACCTCTTTGCATCATCCTACTTTTGGACCCTTTTGTGCCTTTAAGAAACTGCTTGTTGCAAAGCTCCAAAGGGAGTTCATATCCAAGGATACTTGGGTATGTTTCTTCCAGGCAGTTGTCTTCATTGTGGCTCAAGTAAACTCTTTGAATTACATTTTGTGCTTCAGCCCCTTCCACTTAGATTAACAACATGGATTTGTGTCACCATGTACAGCAATTAAAATGCTTACACTTTTCCCCTCGAGGGCACTGATGTGTTTTCCTGAGCACTTGGAATAGCTACGTAGTGTTTCCTGTCTAGATTATGGTTTCTCAACCTTGGTGCTACTTACCTTTAGGACCAGAGGATTCTTTGTTGTGGGAGGCTGCCCTAGCAATGCTAGGGGTTTCGTTTGACCTCTAAATTTCACACCTCCACCAGTCTTGACATCCCCACAATAACCCTAGACATTGACAAATGTCTCCTGGGGAAAACTCTCCACCAGTTGACAGGCAAAGTTCTGGAAATATTGGAATTGTCAATTGAGATTTTATGTTATCCAAAACAAATATTTTTCTTTCTTTTTAAACATCTACTTCCATCTACTTATCTACTTATTTTTACTTTTATTTGTAACTTAATTCGATCAAGGAGAGAGAGTGCATTTTCTGTTATGCTAAATTTTTGAAGAATGTATTGATTTTTTATGACCTGATATATGGATGATATGTAGATATTACATGTTTGTATTATCAAATTTCAGAGTGATAAAAAATAAATACTTATAATATTTATATTGTCACTGTATATTAGTTATTTTCTTTCTTCACTACAGGAGTTTTTCAACCTATAGGCTATTTTTCAATTCTAGGTTATCCAGTAGATTTTGAAATGTTATGATTAAATATCTACTTCTCAAGCATTCATCTTTGCAAATGAAACAATCCAGAGATCTTATAATACACATCATATAAAGGGCAGATTAGTCAATATATGGTTCAGAAATAATTATGTAATATTTATAAGAAAATTAAAAATTTAGATCCTTAACTCAGATAACAATAATCCAAATTAAAATTTGATTTCATTACATAATTTAAAATGACACCAGAATACTAGCAAAAGTGTAGATAAGTTTATATAATCTTTTTTAGCTGTAGGACTTTATTAGCATAAATTCAAATACAGGATCCAAAGTGAGATTGAGACCTATAGTCAAAGGTAGAAATGTACATATTATAGGGGCATGATTAAACTAATTTAAAGCATGATAACATGGAGAAATATTGCAAAACATACATTTTACTGAATTAATTGTTAATATCTAATCATTATGTGAGAACCAAATTAAAAAGTAGCTACACACGCACACACGCACACAAGTGCAATACTGTCAAATAAACGATGTTCAGCTACAATAGAAATCACACCTGTGTTTTCTCCACAGAAAAGATTAAAAGTCACAATAATCTTTATTGTACATACGGAGGTAAAGATACTCAAAATATTACCCTAAAATACATTATTTTTTTTTGAGATGGAGTTTTGCTTTTATTGCCCAGGCTAGAGTGCAATGGCACAATCTTGACTCACTGCAACCTCAGCCTCCCAAGGTCAAATAATTCTCCCAGATCGGCCTCCCAAGTAGCTGAGATTACAGGCATGCACCACCACACTCGGCTAATTTTTTGTATTTAGTAGAGACGGGGTTTCACCTTGTTGGTCAGGCTGGTCTCCAACTCCTGACTTTAGGTGATTTACCCACTTCAGCCTCCCAAATAGCTGGGATTACAGGCGTGTGCCTGGCCAGGTTTTGATGTATTTCAAGATGGCTACTCGGAAGACTGGAGATAGCTTCTTCTACAAGAATAGCTGAAAAGCTGTGTTTGTTGGGGAGATTTGTATTTGTAGAGAAAATCTGCATTGATATAGACTGGCTTTCCCTGAGATACTCCCTTGTCTGGGTTTAGGAAAGATTAACAGAGCCTGGCACGTTTACATTTCTAAAAACCATTTCCTATCTATACTTCCCAAGAGGAGGGCTGCTCCCTGTGAGGTTTCATCCATGTAACAAGACCACCTCTGCTGCCAGGCTCCTCTTTCTTCCTTGTCGTCACCTGTCTTCTGCAAAGCCCGATTTACCAATCTACAGCTCTGTGTTTTCTGTAACCTCAAGACAGCATAGGCGTGTTGACTACCTTGCCTTTCCTCGAGTTTTTATATAAAGAGTATATATTTGTATATCTCTTTATAATATACAAATATTTGTATAGATATATTTATATATTATGTAAACTCCAAGTGCATACTTGTGCACATATCTGTAAACCTTTTTTTCCTATTAATTTGGACATTATCAGTTTGTTTTATAGACTCAAATAATTAAAGCTTCAAGGGAAAATTTTAAACTTTCCTATAGAGAAAAGACAATTATGTAGGTGACAAATAATATTTAGAGTGTAAGACGCTTTTTAAAGGTATATTTGCAATTTGTGTCAAAACATTTAAATATAAATTTGTTATTTTAACTATAAAATTTCAAATAATTTAAGCCAAATGCATAGCATATGCAGAAAATTTAGCAATATATCTATGTAGCACCTTACTGTGCATTACTGTAAACAGCCGTCTAATATAAAGAACTAAGGTAGCAGCTAATTTTCAAATAGCGCATTTTTTTCACAGACCTATTAAATAAGACAAATAACATTTAAACTTTATTTATAAATTTGCAGAATATGAGTTTTCAGCAGATGGCTTATTTGAGCAAATTCCATCTTCACATTGTGCTATGCTTTTATGAGTTCCAGCTGTTAACGGACATTTTACTGCTGAAACTATCATGTGTGATATAATTGCTCATTATGTGCCTTAAAACACAAGGAATATAATTATTTTCAACTTGGAGCAAATTAAAATCTTATCAGCAATTTAAAATCTATAGAGTCGTCTTCTTCTGCTTAATTATTTTAAATTTGTATTTTTCTCATTATGTTTTTAGTGAGTTCTCTTATCAAGGAGAATAACTCAAGCTGATTATTCTTTTTTTTCTCTTCCATCCACCTCGCAGGTGTGTTATTAATTGCATTTCTCAGAAAATGTTCTTTCATAGCCATCTTACAACATGAGAGACCTTTTAACATCTTCCATTCGGATGTGATACCACTAATGGAAAATATTCCAGCTTTATGAATACGGTGATACAAATAGTTATCCGTCTAACCTCTTTCAGTGCCAAATGTTTACTATACTCAGTGAGTTACTCAGTTGACTGGTAATTTCTTCTGAAATCACTAATGAGAGGATCAGAGGTCTGGCTGTTGTCTGTACCTCATATGACTCCCAGTGCAGACAATTGTTTCTATGGAGCAAAGACAGTTGAAAGGATTGACCTCCTGCATAGAATAATTTCTGCTGTGCTTCTTATCCTTCTTGTGGAGATTTCAGATTACCTGAATTGCTTTTCTATCTTAAGAAAAAATGCAACAATTCTCCCACCTGAGAGGAATGTAAACTGTAGTAAGTTAGCAGAACTAATCCGTAAAGTTTTTACATTGTTTGTTGCAAAATGCAGCGCTGGTGTCTCCATCAATAACCTTTTCTATCCCTCATTGCTCTTTCTTTGACTGCAATAGGATACCTCTAGGCAAATCTGTATTCCCGAGACAGAGTGCCCTTTTGGTGAGCTATAAGCACACTCAATGGTAGGCTGAAATACTAGTTTTTATCTATGGCGAAATGGAATCATATCAGTGATTTTCTTAAAAAGGAAATTTAATTTTTGCTATGGTTTGAATGCTTGCCCCTTCCAATCTCATGTTAAAATTTGATCCCCAATGTTGCAGGTGGGGCTCTCTGGGAGGTGTTTGGTCATGGGGTTGGACCTTCATGAATGCATAATATCCTCCCTTAGGAATCTAAAGCTATCCTCCCTCCTCGGTGCCCTCAGGAATGAGTGTACCATTCTTTATTCATCTATAATTGCCCCACCCATCCTTTTTGAGATATTAATTACATGTATGTTACACTGCTGCATATTGTCTGACGTATCAGTGAGTTTCTAGCTTTCTTATTTTAGTTTACCCTTTGTCCTTTAGTTCGTAAAGCTTCTATTTTTTTCTATAAATTTTCTGATGTTAGGGTAAAATCCATTACTTATTCTATCTCATGGAATTTTTATTTCAAATATTTATTTTTCATCTATACATGTCACATTTTTCATTTTATAACTTCTATTTTTCTCCTATGTTCAATTTTCATTTTAGTACCTTGACATATATATGTATTTATCTATATGTATTTGTAAAATATATTTACGGTAAGGACCTTGAAATTTTCTTCTTTTCTGTCATTTATAAATGACTTATTTTTATCCTGTTAGTATATATCTTAATTATATATATCTTACGGCTTCTTTGCATGTCAGAGTTTTTTTTTTTTGGGGGGTATTTTGATGTTATGCTCTTGAATATCTAGATTTTATTGGCTACCTTTGAACAATGTTGTGGCAGGCAGATCAGTATCTTCAGGATGAGTATTTGTCTGTTGTTGTTTTAAATCTTCTCTTTAAACTTTGTGGAGTTAGTCTAGAGCCATCTGTAATTTGGAGCTCAATGAGCACTGTTACTAGGGTATGAACCTCCAGTGGTCTTTACTGAATATCCTGGAGGTACAGAGGGAATTCCCTTCTCTGGCTGGTCAGAGCTAACGTGTCTTCCTGTCATGTGATGCCAGGGAATTATTCTTCTTCCAACTCCCTGGTAGAGTCCTTTGCTGAGCTCCTTAGAATTTCATCCTATGTACATTTGGCTTAGGGACTTGGGAGAATCCTTAGGCTAAATCTTGGTTCCTATTTCTTTAAACATTCTCTTCTACTACACATTCCAGCTGCTTAACCTTTTTTGATTTTTATCTGGTTCCTCAGTGCAATGACAATGTCTGCTCTCTCTGGGATTCCTCTCTACTGCTGTCACGGAGAATCTGGGAATAAAGCAGGACTCATTCTGGCTCCGTCTCTTCTCTTGCAGAGCACAGTCCTGTGCTGTCTGATGTTCAGTACTTCAAAAAAATGTTTCATATATTTTGTCCAGTTTACTATTCTTTAACTCTAAAAGTTTAACTCCAGTCCCAGTTACAGCATCATGTTCTGTAACTCTACTCCTTGCTGCTTCATTCTGCCATTGTCTTGTATGATCTCTCCTTTCCCTTCTGTAATCAGGCCAAGAGCATAATATAATACTAGTTATAACTGCACAGGTTGCCTCCGTTGTGTAAGAAAATCACTGAGACTTAACTGTGTCCAACTTTTAAAATGTGAATATAAGTACAACTAAAGCTATATTTTGGTTAATATTTGCATTGCATGCTTTTCCATTATTTACTTTCAACATATGTGAAATATGAATATAAATTATAAAAACTTTAAGAGAGCCCATTTAAAAAATCTGGTCTGGTTATGTTTTACCTGGTTTAATACAACGTGCATTCTTGAATTCAGAGTCTAATATAATTGGTACATATGTCTATTTGGAGAAAAAAAATACTTGACAATATTTTAAAATTAATTTATCCAACTCACAACTTATATGCTTCTGCTGTTGTATGGAAGATACATTTTAAACTTTATGAGATAGCATTCTGTTATACAGTCAATATCCAATTAAATTTATCTCTATGTTTATTTCTTTCATTAAAAAATAGTTCTTCTAACTGCAAACTTTCATCAGGGATCATGGCTCTTCTACCTGAAGAATAATCTTTAGTATTTCTTTTCCTGAGGGTCTGCTTGGGAGAAATTCTTTATTGTATCTTTGCTTTTGATGGATATGTCCACCAAGTAGACAGTTCTAGGTCAGCACTTATTTTATTTCAGGACTTGAAAGATATCAATACCTCACTTGTTGGCTTTCGTTGTTTCATTTGAGAAAGTTGTTATCAGTCAACTCTTTCTCTTTGTAGTTAGCCCAATTTTTTTATCAAGTGCTCTTTACATTTTTCTTTTACTTTTCAGAAATTGTCCCATTATGTTTCTAGATGTGTCCTCTGTGTGAGTTTTCCTTTGCTTTGAAAAGCCTCCTGAACCTGTCGTTTAATATTATTGGTCAATTTTGATAAAACCTCTAACATTGCCACTTAAAATGCTGTTCAGACAAGCTGTTTTCTCCTTCTTAGATTTCAACGTGTTAGATTATTACTCTATCCTTCATATTTTTTAAATGACCTTTCTCCACAATTTTTTTAGTTGGTTAATCTGTATTAGTGTATATTTTGTTATTTTATTCTATTTTATTTTATTATTATACCTTAAGTTTTAGGATACATGTGCACCATGTGCAGGTTTGTAACATAAGTGTTCATGTGCCATGTTGGCGTGCTTCACCCATTAACTCGTCATTTAGCATTAGGTATATCTCCTAATGCTATCCCTCCCCACTCACCACACCCCACAACAGTCCCCGAAGTGTGATGTTCCCCTTCCTGTGTCCATGTGTTCTCATTGTTCAATACCCACATATGAATGATAACATGTGGTGTTTGGTTTTTTGTCCTTGCCAGAGTTTACAGAGAATGATGATTTCCAGTTTCATCCATGTCCCTACATAGGACACGAACTCATCATTTTGTGTGGCTGCATAGTACTCCATGGTGTATATGTGTCACATTTTCTTAATCCATTCTATAGTTGTTGAACATTTGGGATGGTTCCAAGTCTTTGCTATTGTGAATACTGCCGCAATAAACATACGTGTGCATGTGTCTTTATTGCAGCATGATTTATAGTCCTTTGTGTATATACCCAGTAATGGAATGGCTGGGTCACATGGTATTTCTAGTTCTAGGTACTTGAGGAATCGCCACACTGACTTCCACAGTGGTTGAACTAGTTTACCGTTCCACCAACAGCGTAAAAGTGTTCCTATTTCTCCACATCCTCTCCAGCACCTGCCGTTTCCTGACTTTTTAATGATCGCCATTCTAACTGGTGTGAGATGGTATCTCATTGTGGTTTTGATTTGCATTTCTCTGATGGCCAGTGATGATGAGCATTTTTTCATGTGTTTTTTGGCTGCATAAATGTCTTCTTTTGAGAAGTGTCTGTTCGTGTCCTTCACCCACTGTTTGATGGGGTTGTTTGTGTTTTACTGGTAAATTTGTTTGAGTTCATTGTAGATTCTGGTTATTAGCCCTTTGTCAGCTGGGTAGGTTGCAAAAATTTTCTCCCATTTTGTAGGTTGCCTGTTCACTCTGATGGTAGTTTCTTTTGCTGCGCAGAAGCTCTTTAGTTTAATTAGATCCCCTTTGTCAATTTTGGCTTTTGTTCCCATTGCTTTTGGTGTTTTAGACATGAAGTCCTTGCCCAGGCCTATGTCCTGAATGGTATTGCCTAGGTTTTCTTCTAGGGTTTTTATGATTTTAGGTCTAACATGTAAGTCTTTCATCCAACTTGAATTAATTTTTGTATAAGGTGTAAGGAAGGGATCCAGTTTCAGCTTTCTACATATGGCTAGCCAGTTTTCCCAGCACCATTTATTAAATGGGGAATCCTTTCCCCATTGTTTGTTTTTGTCAGGTTTGTCAAAGATCAGACAGTTGAAGCTATGCGGCATTATTTCTGAGGGCTCTGTCCTGTTCCATTGATCTATGTCTGTGTTTTGGTACCAGTAACATGCTGTTTTGGTTACTGTAGCCTTGTAGTATAGTTTGAAGTCAGGTAGCGTGATGCCTCCAGCTTTGTTCTTTTGGCTTAGGATTGACTTGGCGATGCGGACTCTTTTTTGGTTCCATATGTACTTTAAAGTCGTTTTTTCCAATTCTGTGAAGAAAGTCATTGGTAGCTTGATGGGGATGGCATTGAATCTATAAATTACCTTAGGCAATATGGCCAATTTCACGATATTGATTCTTCCAACCCAAGAGCATGGAATGTTCTTCCGTTTGTTTGTATCTTCTTTTATTTCATTGAGCAGTGGTTTGCAGTTCTCCTTGAAGATGTCCTTCATGTCCCTTGTAAGTTGGGTTCCTAGGTATTTTATTCTCTTTGAAGCAATTGTGAATGGGAGTTCCCTCATGATTGGGCACTATGTTTGTCTGTTATTGGTGTACAAGAATGCTTGTGATTTTTGTACATTGATTTTATATCCTGAGACTTTGCTGAAGTTGCTTATCAGCTTAAAGAGATTTTGGGCTGAGACAATGGGGTTTTCTAGATATACAACCATGTCATCTGCAAACAGGGACAATTTGACTTCCTCTTTTCCTAATTGAATCCCCTTTGTTTCCTTCTCCTGCCTGATTGCCCTGGCCAGAACTTCCAACACTATGTTGAATAGGAGTGGTGAGAGAGGACATCCCTGTCGTGTGCCAGTTTTCAAAAGGAATGCTTCCAGTTTTTGCCCATTCAGTATGATATTGGCTGTGGGTTTGTCATAGATAGCTCTTATTATTTTGAGATACGTCCCATCAATACCTAATTTATTGAGAATTTTTAGTATGAAGGGCTGCTGAATTTTGTCAAAGGCCTTTTCTTCATCTATTGAGATAATCATGTGGTTTTTGTCCTTGGTTAGGTTTATATGCTGGATTACGTTTATTGATTTGCATATGTTGAACCAGCCTTGCATCCCAGGGATGAAGCCCACTTGGTCATGGTGGATAAGCTTTTTGATGTGCTGCTGGATTCGGTTTGCCAGTATTTTATTGAGGATTTTTGCATCAATGTTCATGAAGGATATTGGTCTAAAATTCTCTTTTTTGGTTGTGTCTCTGCCCGGCTTTGGTATCAGGATGATGCTGGCCTCATAAAATTAGTTAGAGAGGAATCCCTCTTTTTCTATTGATTGGAAAAGTTTCAGAAGGAATGGTACCAGTTCCTCTTGTACCTCTGGTAGAATTCTGCTGTGAATCCATCTGGTCCTGGACTCTTTTTGGTTGGTAAGCTATTGATTATTGTCACAATTTCAGAGCCTGTTATTGGTCTATTCAGAGATTCAACTTCTTCCTGGTTTAGTCTTGGCAGAGTGTATGTGTCGAGGAATTTCTCCATTTCCTCTAGATTTTCTAGTTTATTTGTACAGAGGTGTCTGTAGTTTTCTGTGATGGTAGATTGTATTTCTGTGGGATAGGTGGTGATAACCCCTTTATCATTTTTTGTTGCGTCTATTTTATTCTTCTCTCTTTTCTTCTTTATTAGTCTCGCTAGTGGTCTATCAATTTTGTTGATCTTTTCAAAAAACTAGCTGCTGAATTCATTAATTTTTGAAGGGTTTTTTGTGTCTCTATTTCCTTCAGTTCTGCTCTGATTTTAGTTATTTCTTGCCTTCTGCTAGCTATTGAATGTGTTTGCTCTTACTTTTCAAGTTCTTTTAATTGTGATGTTAGGGTGTCAATTTTGGATCTTTCCTGCTTTCTCTTGTGGGCATTTAGTGCTATAAATTTCCCTCTACACACTGCTTTGACTGTGTCCCAGAGATTCTGGTATGTTTTGTGTTTGTTCTCGTTGGTTTCAAAGAACATCTTTACTTCTGCCTTCATTTTGTTATGTACCCAGTGGTCATTCCAGAGCAGGTTGTTCATTTTCCATGTAGTTGAGCCGTTTTCAGTGAGTTTCTTAATCCTGAGTTCTAGTTTGATTGCACTGTGGTCTCAGAGACAGTTTGTTATAATTTCTGTTCTTTTACATTTGCTGAGGAGGCTTTACTTCCAACTATGTTATCAAGTTTGGAATGGGTGTGGTGTGGTGCTGAAAACAATGTATATTCTGTTGATTTGGGGTGGAGAGTTCCGTAGTTGTCTATTAGGTGCGCTTGGTGCAGAGCTGAGTTCAATTCCGGGGTGTCCTTGCTAACTTTCTGTCTCGTTGATGTGTCTAATGTTGACAGTGACGTGTTAAAATCTCCCATTATGATTGTGGAGGAGTCTAAGTCTCTTTGTAGGTCGCTCAGGACTTGCTTTATGAATCTAGGTGCTCCTGTATTGGGTGCATATATATTTAGGATAGTTAGCTCCTCTTGTTGAATTGATCTCTTTACCATTATGTAAAGGCCTTCTTTGTCTCTTTTGATCTTTGTTGGTTTAAAGTCTATTTTATCACAGACCAGGATTGCAACCCCTGCCTATTTTCGTTTTCCATTTGCTTGGTAGACCTTCCTCCATCCCTTTATTTTGAGTCTATGTGTGTCTTTGCACGTGAGATGGGTTTCCTGAATACAGCACACTGATGAGTCTTGTCTCCTTCTCCAATTTGCCAGTTTGTGTCTTTTAATTGGAGCATTTAGCCCATTTACATTTAAAGTTAATATTGTTATGTGTGAATTTGATCCTGTCATTATGATGTTAGCTGGTTATTTTGCTCGTTAGTTGATGCAGTTTCTTCCTGGTCTCAATGGTCTTTACAATTTGGCATGTTTTTGCAGTGGCTGGTACCAGTTGTTCCTTTCCATGTTTAGTGCTTCCTTCAGGAGCTCTTTTAGGGCAAGCAAATCTTTCAGCATTTGCTTGTCTGTAAAGGATTTTATTTCTCCTTCACTTATGAAGCTTAGTTTGGCTGGATATGAAATTCTGGGTTGAAAATTCTTTTCTTTAAGAATGTTGAATATTGGCCCCCACTCTCTTCTGGCTTGAAGAGTTTCTGCCGAGAGATCAGCTGATAGTCTGATGGGCTTCCCTTTGTGGGTAACCTGACCTTTCTCTCTGGCTGCCCTTAACATTTTTTCCTTCATTTCAACTTTGGTGAATTTGACAATTATGTGTCTTGGAGTTTCTCTTCTTGAGGAGTATCTTTGTGGCGTTCTCTGTGTTTCCTGAATCTGAATGTTGGCCTGCCTTGCTAGATTGGGGAAGTCCTCCTGGATAATATCTTGCAGAGTGTTTTCCAACTTAGTTCCATTCTCCCCGTCACTTTCAGGTACACCAATCAGACGTAGGTTTGGTCTTTTCACAGAGTCCCATAATTCCTGGAGGCTTTGTTCGTTTCATTTTATTCTTTTTTCTCTAAACTTCCCTTCTCCCTTCGTTTCATTCATTTCATCTTCCATCACTGACACCCTTTCTTCCAGTTGATTGCATCAGCGTCTGAGGCTTCTGCCTTCTTCACGTAGTTCTCGAAACTTGGCTTTCAGCTCCATCAGATCGTGTAAGCATTTCTCTGCATTGGTTATTCCAGTTATACATTCGTCTAATTGTTTTTCAAAGTTTTTAACTTCTTTGCTATTGGTTTGAATTTCCTCCTGTAGCTCGCAGTAGTTTGATCATGTGAAGCCTTCTTCTCTCAAATCGTCAAAGTTATTCTCTGGTGAGGAACTGCATTCCTTTGGAGAAGAAGAGACACTCTGCTTTTTAGTGTTTCCAGTTTTTCTGCTGTTTTCTCCCCATCTTTGTGGTTTTATCAACTTTTGGCCTTTGATGATGGTGATGTACAGATGGGTTTTTGGTGTGGGTGTCCTTTCTGTTTGTTAGTTTTCCTTCTAACAGACAGGACCCTCAGCTGCAGGTCTGTTGGAGTTTACTAGAGGTCTATGCCAGAGCCTGTTTGCCTGGGTATCAGCAGCAGTGGCGGCAGAACAGCGAATTTTCGTGAACCACAAATTCAGCTGTCTGATCATTCCTCTGGAAGTTTGGTCTCAGAGGACTACCCGGCCGAGTGAGGTGTCAGTCTGTCCCTACAGGGGGGTGCCTCCCAGTTAGGCTGCTCGGGGTTCCGTGACCCACTTTAGGAGGCAGTCTGCCCAGTGTCAGATCTCCAGTTGCGTGCTGGGAGAACCACTACTCTCTTCAAAGCTGTCAGACAGGGACATTTAAGTCTGCAGAGGTTACTGCTGACATTTTGTGTGTCTATGCCCTGCCCCCCGAGGTGGAGCCTACAGAGGCAGGCAGGCCTCCTGGAGCTGTTGTGGGTTCCACCCAGTTCCAGCTGCCTGGCTGCTTTGTTTACCTAAGAAAGCCAGGGCAATGGCGGGCCCCACTCCCCCAGCCTCGCTGCCGCCTTGCAGTTTGATCTCAGAGTGCCATGCTAGCAATCAGCAAGACTCCATTGGCATAAGACCCTCTGAGCCAGGTGCGGGACACAATCTCCTGGTGTGCCGTTTTCCAAGCCTGTTGGAAAAGTGCAGTATTAGGGTGAGAGTGACCCGATTTTCCAGGTGCCATCTGTCACCCCATTCTTTGACTAGGAAAGGGAACTTCCTGACCCCTTGTGCTTCCTGAGTGAGGCAATGCCTCACCCTGCTTCGGCTCCCACACGGTGGGCTGCACCCACTGTCCTGTACCCACTGTTTGGCACTCCCTTACTGAGATGAACCCAGTACCTCAGATGGAAAAGCAGAAATCACCCGTCTTCTGCGTCGCTCATGCTGGGAGCTGTAGAGTGGAGTTGTTCCTATTAGGCCATCTTGGCTCCATCCCTCATTTCATTATTTCATCATTTCATCATTTCACTTCATTTCATCATTTCATTTTATCTTTTCATACCATTTCTTCATTTCATCATTTCATCATTTCATTTCATTTCACCATTTCACTTCATTTCATTTCAGCATTTCATTTCATTTCATTTCCTCATTTCACTGCACCATTTCATTTCATCATTTCATCATTCCATTTCATCATTTCATCATTTCATTTCACCTCATCATTTCATTTCTTCATCTCATTTCATTTCAGCATTTCATTTCATCATTTCACCATTTCATTTCATCTCATCATTTCATTACATTTCATCATTTTATCATATCATTTCATTTCACTTCATCAATTCATCATTTCATTTCATCATTTCATTTCATGTCATCATTTAATCATTTCATTTCATTTCAGCGATACATGTATTTAAGTGCTAATGTGATGCCCAGGAAACACCCTATTTCCCTTTGTAAAAGACCTCCTTCAACAAAACTCAACCTCTCATGGCTGGCTAAGTCTACAGGGCTACGAGCCTCTATTCAACCACCCAATTTGGTTCAGAACCTCAAACAGCACCTCAGTTTCATAAAAACCTAAAACATAAACACAACACTTGGTTGTAAGTGAGCCAACAGTTTCTTGTCTCTTTCTCTGCTCAAGGCTTAAGGCCGTGTCTCCCCAACTATGTTCAGTGGAAGAAAAGATCCCCTGGACAAATAAGTTTGAGAACTGTTGTGGCAGGACTTCTGAGAACCTTTAAAACACAAATCCTCATCCGCAGGGATCTTCAGGAGGGAGATGGCTGATGCAGCACAACTTTCTTTCACAGGAGCATCTTGCAGAATACCGTATGAGATGCAGAAAGGCTGCATTGAGTCTTTTTAAGGGCCAGAGCCTTTGTGGCGGTGGGGTAGGAGCTCTCCAGATAGCATCTAATGTGTAGGAAAATTCAGGTTGCTTTTTTTTTTCCTTACTGGCAAAACTGTGTGTGCATCATGAATGAAGCCGGTCTCCCTTATCCATATCAAAACTAAACCCAAATTAATTGGCTAAATTGGGACTCAACACCTCCAGGAGCCATGTGGAAGAAAGCCCCACCACACTTTAAAGTAGCTTACCTCATCATATTTGAGGAAAGCAAAACGCTTATGATCAGTATGCTGCTAAAACAAGTCAACAGATAATGCTGTATGAAAAACTAGTTTTCCCAATCATAGCTAGCATAGTCCACATTTTGCATTACACCTTCCCTCCTTTTTTAAAATTTTAAACACAGTTCCTTTTCTCTCCTTTTTTTTAAATTTTAATTTAATTATACAAGACGGAGTCTCAGTATGTTGCCCAGACTGGTCTTCAACTCCTGAGATCAAATGATACATCCGTCTCCGCCTCCCAAAGTGCAGAGATTACAGGCCTGAGACACTGTGCCCGGCCTTAGACACAAATCTTAATTCATTCTTACAATCATCCTGAGGTTAGAGAAATGGAAGGGGAAGAAAAATGGCAAGCAGATAGGCTGACTTCGGCTTCATTATTTGGAAGGACAGTTTGCTTGGTTAAAACACACTACTGCCCACAAAGGCCAAGACAACAGAAAAATACAGACATATAAATAGATTTTATATGTGACAGCAGTTTGAATGGAGACTTTTTCAATGCAAATGGCAAACAGCTGTCCTTGGGAATAAATGACAAGAATTTTTTTTTTATCTCAACAGCTGTCCTGAGAGCATGTCTCTACATCTCTACCTGCATTCTGGAATCAGGGAGGAAGCCAAAACGGACGACAAGACACTAGATCAGCCGTGTCCAACCCTTTGACTACAAGGACTTTTCCGCCTATCTGTGGTGGTGGGTATCATGAAAATTATGAACAAACCTTTTTTTTTTTTTAAGCTCATCAACTATCATTAGCAGTAGTGTATTTTATCTGTGGCCCAGGAGCATTCTTCTTCCAATGTGGCCCTGAGAAGTCAAAAGACTGGACACCTGTGCACTAGATCAAAAGGCTACTCCTTCTGGAAGCAATTGTAAAGAATTTCTGACATTATCTTGACATGAAAACCAATGGATAGTGGGACAGAATGCAAAATCTTCAAGAATTTTTCTTGTTGGTTTTTTTTTTTTTTTTTGAGTCAAGGTGTTGCTCTGTGGCCCAGGCTGGAGTACACTGGTGAGATCACAGCTCAGTGCAGGGCTCAAGTGCTCCTCCCGCCTCAGCCACAGTAGTAGCTAGGACTACAGATGTGCACAACCACTCCTGGCTAATATTTTATTTTTTGTAGAGATGGGGTCTCAGTATATTGTCCAGGTTGGTCTCAAACTCCTTGACTCAAGGGATCCAGGACAGGATAACAGGCGTGAGCCACCACACCTGGCTATGTGCATGAACTTTTAAGACAAATACAAGGCTCCATAAAAGTTAAGGTTTTCCCACCTAATTTCCCGGGGATCTTTTGGTGCAAGGATGAGAAACCCTTAAAAGTACACAGACATCTCCAAAGATTCAAGACAGTTCATTCGGGCTGAGCCAGCCCACTGGGCAGACTGACCTTCAAACAAGGCCCACCCATGACATACACCAGATGGCTCTCCAAGAATCTCTCCATTTCTCAAGGTCCCTAAGGTACTGGACAGAGCTAGGAAAGGAAACCCATTTGCTTCTTCCTGCAGGAAACCCCTTGAGGTCAAGACCCCACAATCAGACGAGGATGGAGTGGCTCACCCTCAGTCAACAGGCCAGACTCAAGGTGGTATAGTGTCTTAACTAAGGGTGTGGGACTCCAGGTCTGAATCCGAACTTAGTTCTCCTTTGGTAACCACACTTTGTTAATTTTCCTTAACAGGGGTTCCTGGCAAGTCATTTCTCCCTCAGACCTTCGGTTTCCTCACCTACAAGATGGGAAGGCTGCACCAGATGGAAGTTCCGGGCGTAAGGGGATGTCCACGCGCAGCCCACCCCACCCACGGGCCCCTTGAGCCTCCATCACAGTTCCCAACACGCACCCGCCCCACAAATCTTGCCCAAGGTGAGGGCTGGTCCCGCGTCCTATGGCTGCCGAATCAGCGAGTGCAGGAGGGAGGAGAAGCCTCCAAGGGGGCGACGCGGGCTCAAGGTTGCAACTCGGCCAGGAGTGAACTGGGGCCCCGAAGGAGATGTCCAGTCCGGTGCTGGAGCCCAGCCCTGGTCCCCAATCCCCTTACCTGCACGGTCTGTATCTCCTGCTGGGTGAGGTCCTTGGACACAGCGCACTTGGTGCACAGCACGCGCAGCCTGCCAACGGAGATGCCGATGAGCTTCTGGAGCTGCCCGCACTGCTGCAGCACCTGGCTGGCTGCGACCCTTGCGCCTCCCTCCGCGACAGCTGCGTCACCCCCGCCACCGCTCTCCTTCTCCTCTCCCATCGGGGCCAAGTGCAGCGCCGCTCTATGCAGGCTGCAGCGGCCCAGGAACAGAGCCTGGGGCGTGGGTGTCTAGGCAAGGAACCCCCGAAATGGGAGAGCTCGACCAGGAGTGGCCCTCGGCGCTGCCTTAGCCAGGACGCCAGTAGATCTGGCAGCCGAGTCTGCCGATCCCGCCCACAGACCCGCGGTGGTGGGGGGAAAAAACCCGCAACGGCGGGGTGAAAAAGCCGCAGCGGTAAAAACCTGTGGCGGCGGCAGCAAAAAGCCGCGTCGGTAAAAAGCCGCGGCAGCAGGGAAAATGCCGTGGTGATGGGGGCAAAAAGCCGCGGCGGCGGGCGCAAAAAGCCGCAACGGTGGAGTCAAAAAGCCTGGGCGGTGGGGGAAATAGCCGGGGCGACGGGGGCAACAAGCCACGGCGGCCGAGGCAAACAGCCCCGGCGACAAAAACTGCGGTGGCGGGGGCAAAAAGTCGCGGCGGCGGGGGCAAAAAGCTGCGGTGACGCCGGCAAAAAGCCATAAAAAGCCGCAGCGTCGGGGGCAGAAAGCCGCGACGGCAGGGGCAAAAAGCCGCGGTGGTGGGGTAAGAAGCCGCGGTGGCAAAAAGATACGGCGGCGGGGCCAAAAAGGCGCGGCGGGGGCAAAACGGTGCGGCGGCGGCAAAAAGCCGCGGCGGCGGGGGCAGAAATCCTCAAAAAGCCGCGGCGTCCGGTGCCAAAAGCCGCAAAAAGCCGCGGCGCAGGGGCTAAAAAGCCGCCAAAAGCCGCGGCAGAGGGGGCAAAAAGTAGGGGCGGCAAAAAGCCACGAAGGCGGGGACATGAAGCCTCAAAAACCCTTAGCGGCAGGGGCAAAAACCCGTGGCGGCGGGGGCAAAAAGCGGCTGGGGTGATAAAAATCCTCGGCGGCGGGGGCAGGAAGCCGCGTAGGGGGCAAGGAGCCGCGGCTGCGGGGGCAAAAAGCTGCGGTGGCGGGGGCAAAAAGCCGCAAAAAGCCAGGGCAGTGGGGGCAAGAAGACGCGGCTGGAAAAAGCTGCGGCGGCGGGGGAAAAAAGCCGCGGCGGCGGGGGGCGAAAAGGCGTAAAAAGCCGCGGTGGCGGGGGCCAAAAGCCGCGGCAGCAAAAAGCCGCAAAAAGCCGGGGCGGCGGGGCAAAAAGCCGCGGCGGAGGGGCAAGAAGCCGCGGAGGGAAAAACCTGCGGAGGCGGGGGCGAAAAGCAGTAAAAAGCCACGGCGCCGGGGGCCAAAAGCCATAAAAAGGCGCGGCGGCGGCGGTGACAAAAAGCCGCTGCGGAAAAATTCGCGGTGGCAGGGGCAAAAAGCTGCGACAGCAGGGGGAAAAAGGCCGCAAAAAGCCGCGGCGGCGAGGGCAAAAAGCCGCGGCGGCGGGGGGAGAAAGATGCAAAAAGCCGCGGCGGCAAAAAGCCGCGGCGGTGAGCGCAAAGAGCCCCAAAAAGCCGCGGCGGCGGGTGCTAAATTCCGCGAGGCTGGGGGCAGAAAGCCGCAAAAACCCGCAGCGGCGGGGTCAAAAATCCATGGCGGCAAAAAGCCGTGTCGGCTCGGGCAAAATAGTGGAAATGGGGTAGAAGGCCAGCGCAGCTTGGCATTCCTGGAGTTTGATGTGGAAGGAAAAGTGCAGAGGAAGACAAACAAAGATGTAGGTAGGCTTGATTCAGTGCAGCTAAGAACCCACATGTTATCTTGATGTTATCTATCAGCTAATTTTTTGTATTTTAGTAGAGAAGGGGTTTTACCAAGTTGGCCAGGATGGTCTCGATCTCCTGACCTCATGATCCACGCACCTCAGCCTCCCAAAGTGGTGGGATTAGAGGCATAAGCCACAAAGTGCTCAAAAAATCTATTAATTAAAAAATGTGTATGTAGCCGTCTTTAATCTACCATGTCCATTAGCAGATAAATACTGTAAGCAAAATAACAACAATGAAAGAAACAGACTTAGAGTAGATACTGTGATTTATTTAATAAAAATTTGAAAATAGACCAAATTACTCTATGATAAAAAAAAATCTGTTACTATTGAGGATGAGGGTTAGTGTTTGGAAAGGGGCAGGAGAAGTATCTCTATTTTTAGTAATGTTCTATTTTCATACATGGTTATCAGCAAATACATGTGTTTCATTAATGAAGCTATCCATATTTAATCATGGTATTTTTCTGCATGTATATGTCAATAAATGTCTTAAATTATATACAGCAAAAATAGACAAAAACACCAGAAGACATACACAAATGTTAAACCTAGAGAGAAATTTGAATATAAGTAAGTCTCTGAATGACTGATAGAACAAACCGAAAAATAGGATGGAGAGGTCTGGAAGAGCATGATTAGCAAAATTTATATATCTGTCTTTTAATATAGGTAGAAACAGTTAGATAAAAAAAAGACTTGTCTCAGAGCATGATTTCTGAAAATAGTGGAGTCGAGTTTGAATCTAGTAAGTACATATAAATAAATGTCTTAAAACTCCTCTTATGTTAGCTAATTAAGAAATATTATTGTAATAGACATTAGAAAATATTTTAATAAATTGAGTGCATTTCACACGCTAAGGAAATGATCTTACTTGCATTTGATAGTTCAATTAGATACATATATACCTATAGGTACTTTAAAATATTTCTAATAACCTTATATACTTTTAAAAAGCATTGATATATGTTTGCACTATCTGGTCTATAGAGTACACATAGCAAACATGATTATAGCTCTTCTGCTATAAACTTCAAATGTCTAATTAATACAAAAATCTAGAATGAGAAGAGTTCTTTGCAATTTTTTTTTACCAAATAGAGTATAGGAAAGATAGCTGCAAATATACCTGACACACTTATCTGTGAGTATGGTGGTAGCCTTTTTATTTTATTTTATTTTGAGAGAGGGTCTCACTTTGTCACCCAAGATGGAGTGCAGTCATGTGATCACAGCTCACTGAAGCCTTCACATACTGTGCTCAAGCGATTCTCCCAACTCAGTCTCCTGAGTAGCAGGGACTGCAAGTGCATGACACCATAGTAGCTAATTTTTGTAAAGATGGGATTTCACCATGTTGCCCTGGCTGATCTCCATCTCCTGGACTCAAGAGATCTGGCCACATTGGCCTCCCAAAGTGCTGGGATTATAGTTTTGGGGCACCGCGATCAGCCCAGTCTTCAAAAAGGCAGACTAGAGATCTTTATCTATGTATATCTATATCTATCTATAAAATAAACATATGTGTTCCTTATATAAAAATATATATTATTAATATTATATAAAATTTTTTTTCGAGGTAGAAATATATAAAGAGGGTGCATGTAGAGCCTGGGGCATTGTGTAGTGAAGCTCAAGGCCTCTGAAGAAATGCTCCTTGCCTCTTTTGTCTGGGCTAGAATCCGAGAAGGGAAAGCAGCAGATGCACTGGTTCCCAGGTTCTTGGCATCCTACAGAGAGAAACTTGTTTGAGCTAGGGCAGTGTTTAACACCCTTGTTCTTACTCTTCTGTTTTATGTAGTAAGCAGAGACTAGCTTCATGAGAACAGACAGTGACAGTCAAGGCTGTCTGTTATTTTGTGCAGCGTTCATTGAGAAATTCTAGCACCTGAAGACCTCTGGGCCATTTGAGGGTAGGTGCAGGGGAGGAAAGGGAAGTTTGCATCCCTCCTGCTGTGGAGAGAACCCGTGGGAAGCACAGACCTTGTCCTAACTGAAGGCAGACCCCCTTGCTAACCAGCTTCTCATCAGCCAACCCTGGATGAGTTTGCATGTCTATTTACTAAATAATCCTCATTGCTCTTCTTCATATGGGCAAAGTATGGTTTACAGGGAATATTGTTCCTTTGAGCACCCATCGTGGAAACCCCTTCCTGTTGTGGGAAAACAAGCTTCCATATGTGTCTTATTGGGAAACACATAGGCAATTTCTATGTTTTTACTGCATCTATTTCAGGGATATGGGTACTGAATAGTGCCCATCAAAGTCTCACCTGATGTTGGAAATTGATCTGACAGCACGGAAGGACAGAATTCTTTCTTTGTTCCTGGGCAGCGGTGGTTGAGGGATCATTTTGTGGCAGCTACAGTGGCAATGATGGAGGCAGAACGGAGGGCTCAGTACCAAGACAAGGAGAGACTTGGCCTCACAATGGCAGCATTGCAGGGGTGCACTCTACAGAGCATTTGCTCACATGGTTTTGGGCATTGTCTCTAACTACATTGCTTCCCCAATAGGTTGACCCATTCTAACTAACTCCTTTTCTCTTTAAAAAAGCAAACTTCATTTGTATGACTTGCAATTGTAAACGACACCAATTGGCCAGTTATCATTCAAATTCTCTGTTACTTAATCCTGCCTTTTCCTGAGGTATGCAACTTTCGCCTAAAAAATTGGACACTTTGTTGCTTACTCATTGTCTTTACACATTTTAAAATGTTGCTATGTGCCCCCAATCCCTAACTACATTTTCAATGTTTTGCAAGTGGAGTCCATGTGTTCTTGATTTACATGAAGCTCAAAATAATGGTTATAGTAACTAGTACTTCATAATTAAGCAAAAAGCTCTTACTGAAAAATGACAGAACTATACATAGGGATGAGAACATGGAGAGATATTTCGTGAGATCACAAAGTTATGGTATGGCAGAAGTAGAACGCTGAGTAGAAACTCTGTGTTCCCAATCAATATTTCTACCACCAGCTTTCTATTTTGATGTTAATAATGTTCTTATGTGGGAAACCCTACATATTTGCCAATGTTTAGTTCATTGACAAAGAAATAGAAAGAGCTTCAAGAACACTCTAATCTTTAAAGAATAAAATACCTATAATTGGCCATACGAAAAAATTGGTACTTGACATATACTGAGATCGTTTTATTTTGTGCTAGACAAATGAAGTCATAGAACAGAATGTGCTTTAAATATTATGAATAGTGCTTGCATGTGTGTGTGTCTATAGATGCATATTAGGCCGCTGAAAAGTTTTATTATTCTTTCCAGGAGAGAGACTGCCAACTTTTGAACCTAACTAGAACAAGTATATTGCTTCTTCATATTTTTATTAAGGCAAAGAGAGTCTAGTTAAAAATAATTCAAATTGTGGTGGAAATGCTATAAATTGCTGTGAAGTGAGTTTCTGGCTATGGCTTGTCAGAGCAAATATATTGTACAAATCTTAGGGGAGAATTAGTGCTTGTGCATTAAAATCAAATCATCTTGCAGCACACCGAGAAAAAGGTTAGATTTTTAAAATAATTTCAAAGTCATGAAAAGAGCAAATATGCTCCACAAAGAGCCTAGCAACCCTCAATGACCAATGCCCCTTTTATATAGTTTGGTATCTGAATTAGAATCCCAGAATCTACAAATTCCTCTGGGTGTGGGTGCTGCATTTTGAGGATTTTATAACACTGCCATCACCAAGCTCTCTTTTGATATTCACTTTAAGGAGATAATTTGCGGGCAACCAGAGAGCATAAACAAAGTAGATATCTATCTAGATAGCTAGATACATCTCCATATCATTGACAGGATACATTCTGGCCGAGTGTGAGTACAACCTATGGATGTGGTTGGAGAGAACAAGTGTTCCACCTGAATGGCAGATCAGGATTATTCCTTCTCATCTGCTGCAATGGCTCAATGTGTTAAGGAGAGGAGCGAGACAGCAAGAACGGCATTCATTCAGTCATACAGACCAAAAGGAGGAATGTCGCCCAGCCCTCTAAACTGACCCAGAACCCAGCTCATGTCTCAACTGCTACCTCTCCTACTTAGAAAGAAGTAACTCCACCACAGCAGGGTTCTGGACAAATATATTTTTATTGATCATATATAAATAGATGAAGATGGACTTGGATGTTAAGAAAAATAATACTATACAAAATCGAGAGTAGACAGTCGCCCCTAGACTTAAATTAAGGGTGTGTACATTAGGTAATTTAATCCAGTGTATCAGGTAAAAACTTGAACAAACCTTTTGGCCTCTTCCTTAAAATTCAAGGAAGCATGTCCTCCAAAAAACAGAATCAAAATATAAATAAAAGACTGGCTTAAGATGAAAGGAAACCTTACAAACGAAAAGAAGCCAGATGAGAGGCACTTAAGTGAGAATGAAAAGAAACTGAGTGGACAAAATAATTATGAGAAGATGAACCTTCAAATCAGAAAGAGGGCAAAAAGCTTATTTGATACTATGGGAACTCTAAGGAGAGTGAACACAAATGTGAAAATTCCAGGAGTAAAAAAAAGTAGCATAGCTAAATTAAGAGCATGAGAAAAATTATACAATTTTGAGTAATAAGAACAGAAATCAAAAGTAACTATTGTATGTTATATTTTAGTAGAGCAACACTGAAGAAGAATGAAAACAAGAAATAATATTGAATATGAACATATGGAGAACAGAATATTTTTAAAATTTTTAGTTTCTAAGCTTATCTGAAATTTTAATTTCGTTTTCTTTTGTAATACCAGAGTTATTAGGAAGGTATTATCTAATAACACTATTTTCAGTGATATTTTAAGTAGTTGTCCTAGAAAAATTTTATTTTTTAAAAATGTATATTTAAAAATACATTAAATGTGTATATACATCAATCATATGTATCGATTTCTGTTTTTCTTGAATTGCAAATGAAATTTGTATTTTTGTGTTCCTGGAATAAAATAAACTTGAATGGATTGTAATATGTTATTCATTCTGCAATTCAATGTATTTGAATACTTAAAAAATATTACATTTATAGTTAACAGATAATGACCTATACATTTTGTGTCATATAATGATGCTGTGAGACAATCTAAGAAGAATTAAAATTTAAATTCATGGATTCCTACTTTTTTCTCTGTTCTCTAACTGTAATATATTTTAATTACAGAGGGAGGAACAGATAGATGATAGATAAATTGATATATAATAGATAGATCATCCAAAATTCTTATTCTGATGGTTTTATGTAGTCAGTATTTACCTCTATTTTTCTACATGTTTTTCCTTCCCATTTAGTTCATTACTTCCTGCACTTTTGATGTCATATATATAAACAGGAAATAACACATGGTGGCCGGGATGTAGAGAGAGCCACAGGACTTGTGAATAAAATCCACAGGCAAGGATGTGGCGATTCCTTTTGCAATATTGGAGGGAATGCCAAACCCTATGTTTGCTGTGGAAAAGAGTATGGTAGTTCCTCCAAACATCCAAGTGGTATTGCCTTATGATTCGGCAGCCCCACATCTCAAGATAGCAAAAGAATTGAAAGCAGAGTCTTGAAAAAATATTTGCACATCCATGTTTGCAGCAGCATTATTGGCAATAGCTAAAACGTAGAAGCAATTGAAGTGTCCAACCACAGATGAATGGATAAGCAAAACATGATATATACATAGAATGGAAAATTATTCAGCCTTAAACATGAGGGAAATATTCTGACATACGTTGCAACTTGGATGAAACTTGAGGATATTATGCCAAGTGAAATAAGCTAGTCAGTGAAGGACAAATACAGTATAATTCCATTTGTGTAAGAGACTTAAAGTGGACAGAATCATAGAGATAGTACAATGATGATTGCCAGAAGCTGGGGGGAGGAAGACATGGGGAAGTACTGTTTAATGGGTATAGAGTTTCAGTTTCACAAGATGAAACGAGTTATGGAGATGGATGGTAGGGATGGCTGAACAATGTTATGACTCTGTTTAGTACCACTGAACTGTACACTTAAATTGGTTAACAGAGTACATTTTATGTTATGTGTATTTTACCACAATAAAAAAATAAAATACCTTAGGAACATTTTCCTGAAAGAGTCCACATAAAATTCATTTTAATGCATGTGTTTATGCATAGCTTTCTATTTTTCTCTTTTCTATTTATATTCCAAATTAGAATATAATGCTAATCAAGCATAGTGGATGTGTTTCTTGCTTCCTCTAGTCTGCAGGTAGCATACAAATGTAATAAACTACTCATTAATGTCACATCTATTTATTTTCTGCCTTATACCAAGCTTGTGGGATTCTCTTAAATACAATATTTTTATACTTACACCTATGCAATACCCATTAGCATCGCCTTCCTAAATCAGGGGAAATTGAGTCTCTGTAAGGTGCAGTAACTTACTAAGATACAAAACTCAGCATTAAAGTCTGTATACTTCAATATCCTGCCCTCTTCTCATGTGTCTTTACTGCTTTTTATGTACGTGTTAGATGTTCAATAAATTCTCTTTTTTAAACTGAATTTAAGCAGTGGAGCAGTGTTTTGTTGAACAATAAATATGATATTGGATACTCTTCCTCCCTTTCATTTATGATGCAGTTGATGAAAAAGAGAAATTCTTTCGTTGCGCTAGAAGCTTAAAATAATGAAAATGCGACTTTCTACATTAAACAGAAACTGAAGGGAATCAAGGTGAATTGCATGAGACATAGAAAACAAGTGGGAAAGAAATCTAGTAAAAATTTCCCCTTTGTGTACCTTTGTTATTTAGCATTTGAGAAAATGTTTACCCCAAATATCTTCCCATCTGAATTCATGACAATGAAGTAGACATTTATGTCTCACCTTGTCAAGAAGGGCCAAATCTAACATAAACATTTCCCAAAAATGCTTCCTGCTAAAACGTAAGCTCAGTCTGGCTAGAAATTAAGCTCACTTCATGAAAATTAGTTGGTAGCTAATCTTTGCATGCTGTTCTCTGAACTTGAGTGAAAGCTGTCCATCAGGCATACAGGGAATGACGGAAAAGGTGACAACAGAAGATGAATGCTATATCACTAACCTTCAAAGATGACCTGCCTTTTCTTTCAAATTCTTGATATCTTAAGACTTCATTAATTCATCTCTCTTTGCCCTTGGTTCAACATTGTGCTATACCAAAACTCATGTAAAACAATGATCTATTGTAATAAAAATGGCATTTTTCTTTCATGTAGATGCAAGCTATCTGGCATTTTTACAATCAACATACTTCCCTTGTCAATTTTTCATTCTGTATTGGAACTAATTGATAGGTATTTCTGAAGGGATGAAGGTGATTCTGTGTTCATTGTGATCCAAACTTTTTTTAGACCTAGTGGTGTTGTAAAACAATTTGTGTCAGCTGACCAAGTGTCACTGTGGCAGAAAGCAGCAAACTTGCATAAGATGTCGCTGCCTCATCAGTTGGCTTTGAAAACTAGGGGCTTAGTCTATAGTCCTATGAATCAAAGACATTGATAGATGTAGTATAAGATTACAATCATATTTTCCTTTTGACAGTCACATTTTAAAGCATGATGTATTGCAATTAATCTCAATTAGCTGATGACAATTAAAATTAATAGTTTATTATTGCTGATAAACAATCATGACTCTCCTGTTCTCAAACGTGAAAGGAATTCTGGTAATTTTAATACAAATTTGCATATTATTACTAATTGATTTAATCTCATTGGATTTGGTTCATGGATACAATTCATTAAAATATTGATAATGGGATAATGATTTGTCTCCCCATTTCATTTACACTAAAAGACACAATTCTTACAATGGTCTGCAAGCCCATCATGATCTGCCGCATGTTAACTGCCAAAATTCTTTTCTGTCTTCACCCTTGAACTTACCAGTGGTCCTGGCCACCTCACTGTCCTCTGGACATGCCAACATGTTGCTGCCTTATCACCAAGACTCTAGTTAATTTCTTATCTTGGAAAGATAGCCCTCCATATATCCATTGATGAGCTCATTCAACTTCCTCAAGTCTTTACTGAAACCTCACATTCTCGATGAGACATATTCAGTATTTCAAACTGCCTCCCAGCTGCAACAGTCCAAAACCCCTTAGTCTTCTTTGTATTTTTGAAAGGATTTATTGAGATATAATTTACATAATGTAGAGTGCACATATGAATGTCTACAAGTCAAGACTTTTAGTATATACACAGATAAGTGAAGCCATCATCACAATGAATTTTAGAGTATTTTCATCACTTCAAAAAGAAACCCCACCTTCTCTACCTGTTAGCCTCCTATGCACTCATCCCCTACTCAATCCTAAGCAACAACAAATCTGTTTTTTGTCTCTGTAGATCTTCCTATTCTATTTTCATCTAAATAGAATCATACAATAGGTGCCTTTTGTGCCTGGCTTCTTTCAGTTGGCATAATGCTATCAAGGTTCATATGCGTATTGGTACTTTATTTCTTTTTAAAACTGTATAACATTCAATTTCATGGAAATAACATTTTGTTTATCCAATAATATTTTGTTGACATTTGAGTTGTGTTCAGCCTTTGGCTATTTTAAATACTGCTGTTAAAGTACTTGTGTGCAATTTGTGTTTGAACACCTCTTTCTAATACTCTGGGGGTATAGCTGGGAATAAATTTCTGGGTCATATGACAATTCTGTTTCATATATTTAGAAGCCATCAACCTATTTTCCAAAGTGACCAGTTCTAGCCATAGACTATCTAACTGTGGTTTTGATTTGTAGTTGCCTGATGAGTGATGCTGTTGAGTATCTTTTTATGGAATTATTGACCGTTCGTGTATCTTCTTTGGATATACAAGTATTCCTATCATTTATCAGTTTTGAGTTGGGATTTTTGTTATTGAGTTAAAACAATTTTTCTATATTCAAGATACATATATAAGCAGACATATATATATGTATTTCTCAAATATTTTCTCAGAATTTTTGAGCTGCCTTTTGGCTTGCTTGGTTGTCCTCTGAAACACCAATGTCTTTAATTTTTAAGAAATTTTAAATATCTAATTTTTATTTTGTTGCTCATGTTTTTGGTGTTACAGCTATTTCTTTGCTAGATCCAAAATCCTGAAGATTTTCGCATATGCTTTATTCCAGCTCTTGCATGTATGTCTTTAATTCATTTGAGTTAATATTTTTGTATGCTTTGGGGTAAGGGTTCCAATTTACTATTTTGCAGGTGGCGATCCACGTGTACGTTGTTGACCCAGTGTGTTCAAAGACTGTCTCTTCCTCATTGAATTGCACATGGCACCACTTTAAGAATCCATTGACTATAGATACATAGTTTTATATATGGACTCTCAATTCTCTTCCATCAATCTATATAATTTTCCTTCATCAGTATTGTGTTGTCTTGATTACTGATGCTTTGCCGTAAGGTTTGGAGCACGGGGGTGTGAATTATCCTAATATGTTTTCTTTTATCAAGACTATTTTGGCTATTTTGAGTCCCTTACCATCCCATGTGTATTTTAGAATCAGCTTGTCAGTTTCTAGGCAGAAGTCTGTTGGAATACTTGCAGGGATTACGTCAAATCTGTAGTTCAGCTTGTAAAGTACTACAATATTAAATCTTCCAATTCATGGGTGGAAGATGATTGCTAATTATTTAGACATTCTTTAAACAATAATTTTTAATTTTCAGAGTAAAATTTTGTATCACATTTTCCAAATTAATTATTATTTCTTTTTTTGATGCTATTTTAAATTGAAGTGTTTTCTTAATTTCATGTTGGGGTTTTCATTGTAGATATGTGTAATTGATTTTTGTACATTTACCTTGTATGCTGTAATATTGCTGAAATAACTTACTAGTTCTATCGTTCAATGGATTCCTTAAAATTTTCTATATACAAGAATGTTATTTTCCAATAATGTTTTATTTCTTCCTGTTCAATATGGGTGACTCTTTTTTTTTAGTTGCCGATTTGCCCAGCATAAAATCTTTAGTACAGTGTTGACTAGAAGAGGTCAAAGTATATATCCTATTCTTATCTCTGACCATAGCGGGAAAACATCCTTTACCATTAAGTTGCATGCTCGCTGTTGGCTTTTCACAGGTGCCATGTATCTGGTGTAGAAAGTTCTCTATTCCTAGTTCATTGAGTTTTTATTCTTATTTTTAATCATTAAAGCATTTGGATTTTGTTAAATGTCTTTTCCGAATCTATCGACATGATCATGCAATTCTTGTTTCTTATTCTATGGATAAGATGTATTACCGTAAAGGATTTTGGGCTGTTAAACCAACCTGAGATTACTAGTATAAATTTCACTTTGTCATAATGTGTAATTCTTTTATATGTTGCTAGATCTGATTTGTTTGTATTTTTTAAGGAATTTTGCATTTATACTAATAGTAGTTTTATTTTTCTATGCTATTCGGACTAATTTTTGTATCAAGGTAACACTGGCCCCACAGAATAAATTGGGAAGTGAATATTTCTCTTTTTAAAAAAAGTCAGTCAAGAATTAATATCAACTAGTAAACACTAACAAATATGATTAATATTATAAATTATTAATTTCTCTATTTTTTATTTTCTTCCTTCTGCTTGCTTTAGGTTTAGTTTGCTATTCTTTCCAGTGCCTTAATGTGGAAGGTCATCTTATCTCCTCCTTTCCTTTGTCTTTTCATTTTCTAAATAGTGTCTTTTTAGCATCAGGTGAGCTCCCCAGTTTGGTAGTACTCCATGTTTATTGCTGTACAAAAATGACAGGTAATATGTCCTGAAGACAATGGAAACTTAACATTCAAAATCCTCCTAGATTCCACCTTACGTGATATGTCTCTTCCTTTGATTGGTCCTAATTTCTACCCTTTCTCTATTATAAACCATGAGTACAATGGCATTCAATGAGTTCTGTGAGTCTTTTTAGTAAATTCTTGAAACTGAGGGTGTTCTGGGGAAACCCCTGAACTGGTAGTTCGTGACAAAAGTGCGAATCATCTTATATGGCCTCTTCCTTTGAACTTCGCAGCTGGACACAAACTCTGCACAATTTGGGCCAGAAGTCTCGTGTTGACTTGCAGCCTAAATTATCTTCTAATTTGTCTAACCCTCAATAAATTTGCTTTCATCCAATATTGTATTTGTTACCCCAAAATTACTATCATGTTTCTTTTCTCCAAATAACTAACATTGGGAGAAATAGCCAGCTGAATCTGTAACTCAACAGAAACAAGTGATCCATATACCATATAAGTGGCCATTTCATTTTGCCTTCTTCCACCAAATCTTAGCAACCTCAACCATTGCCATGAGCCACTGTAGGCCTACCGTCTACAAACAAACAAGTATCTTTTAAAAACATTTCATACTCCCATTTGATACATTTCCCAGCAAAGAGATGCTTACTTTAACTCTATGCAAGTGGCTCA
Organism: Homo sapiens; assembly: GCF_000001405.40. Lineage (NCBI taxonomy): Eukaryota > Metazoa > Chordata > Mammalia > Primates > Hominidae > Homo > Homo sapiens. Next base: position 27,294 of record NT_187364.1, on the reverse strand, counting down.
TATTCGCAAAGTCTGGAGATATTATTCATGTAGTGTGAGAAAATCATCCCAGCGATGCCAGCACATTCTCCTTCCCATGATCTGCTAAGTTTGAAAACATATTCAAGCTGTAGGTGAGAGATTTGTATTTCACAGTACAACAATTTTATGGAGGTCATTGAAACTTAGATTTAGCATTTTATCACAGTCACGCGTCACTGAATGACAGGGATACGTTCTAACAGATGCATCCATAGGCAATTTCATCATTTTGCAAACGTCAGAGAGAATATTACAAACACTTAGTTTGTACAGCCTACCACGTTTAGGTTATATGGCATAACCTCTCTCTCCTAGGCTACAAACTTGTGTACTACATTACTATACTGAATACTGCAGGCAATAAGAACACAGTGGTAAGAGTTTATGTATGTAAACATACTTAAACATAGAAAAGTATGTAAAATATGTATTATAATCTCATGGGACAAATTTTGTATATGTAATCCATCTCTGAAATATTATTATGCATGACATGACTCTATGACAAAAATAATACATTTTAAAAAATGTACGCATGTATCAAACATATTATTATAAAAATAAAAATATTTATTCAGTGTAAGAATTTGTAATGATCACAGCTTATATTTAAGTACAGTTTCAAATGCTCTGTGTGTATTTTAAACATGTATATAATAAATATTTTTCTGGTTCAAAAATATATATCAATCCTACAGGCTCTTATAAATATTAGTTAAAATCAATTGGTAAATTCATGTATATATATGCATACCTGTATCAGTGAGCGTGTGTGCATGTATGTTTGTGTAAATGTAATTGTATGTGTGTGTAAATGTAATTGGATGCATCCTTATATTTACCCTTACCTACAAGATTTCCAAGATTCATTTATGATCTTTAGATGACGGGCATTTAAAGATTTACCAAATACAACTGTAATAGTGGAAAATATCAAGATGTTATTAAATTCATCTTGTGCACATAAATGTTTCTATAAATTTATGTTTCTTGAAAAACTGGCAGTAATGCTCATGCACAAAATAATTTTCTAAATAAAAAATAAAAACGTTTCCTCAGTCATTAATTCTTAAAATTATTTCTCCCCAATAATTAATGTGAATTAATTCTTAATTCTTAACTATAGAATAATGTTGCCCTTTAGAGTTCGGAAATTTTTACGTGTTGTACACATTTCACTAACCAGAACAACTTCTGAAATATTGGCATTAATTAATGTCACTCAGCAATTATTGATTTCAAAGGCATTAAGTACTATTCATATTCTGAATCAGAAGGATACTTTGGCATCTTTTTTAATCAAGCTCTTTGTATCATCATCTACACTTTAATTACTTAACAAACATTTCTCTGTGTGAGAAAGTTTGAGCAGGTCATTGTGCTTTTTTAAGATGCAACTTTTGCTTAATCTAGAGATAGGCAATGCTCCCTATAAAGGACAAGGGGAAAAATAAATGAGCAATAGAGATGTGACAGGCAGGGAAAAAGACACTACATTTATCAAACAAATAGGGCCACGGATGACGATAATGGGGATCAAATCTTGAGATACTAACTCAGTTTATAACCGCACTGTATAATAGAGCAAATCATTCTTTAATTTTTTTACAAATGTAATTTAATTTAATTAAGACGAATACAGTGTTTTAAACAAGGCAGGTCATCTTAAAATAAAATAGTGGAATAAAGTGATAAAACCAATGTAAAAATCGTAAACATTTTATAAGGAATTTTTGTCATGTAATTTAATAATTTTGTTCATTTAAAATCACCCAAATCAAAATAATTTTATCTTAATTAACAAATAATCATCAGAAGTTTAACTAATTTTTACATTATAATACTAGGTTTAAAAATTCTTCACTATATTTTTAATCACATATGCTTATATATAAAATAGACATAGGATATATATTTACATGTTCACAATATTATATTGTAATTGCTCCTATGGATGTGGTTTTTCAATAGAATTAATAAGTACTTTTAAAAAGTACTTTTTAAATTTCAATGATGTATATGATAGATTTTTCTTAGACAAAGCATACATATATTGATACGTAATAATATGAAAATCTTCTAAAGGCATTACAGGAACACGAAAATGTAATTAAATACTCACTAACTTCTAATGTTTTATGTAAGCGGAACACATTTAACAGAAAATTATTTTCATATAATACACAAACGAGAATAAAACTTTTTAACCAGCCGAGTAAGTCTTCAAATTGATAATCTGAACTATATAAGAGGAGAAACTTCAGGCACTCCAATATTTGAAATGCCACAAAATATTTATATAAACTCTTATTTTACAATATCTGTTTGTAGAGTACTATACAGTAATCAATATAAATGACATCTCAATTCTTTCTATAGCTTTGACCACATTTACATCTTAATTTTAATTATTAATATGTTGGAGCAGAGCATACGACTAGATTCAGATCTTCCTTTTTAATCAGTAAAAATATGTCCTTTGAGAGAGCATTAAAGAAAGAGCACCTTGTATAAATTCAATGCCAAGAGACAAGATATTTTTGATTCTCAAGTCCTGTTCTTTTATACAGCAATGTAATTAATAAGAAGAAAAGCAGGACATAGATGTGGAGCCTATTTTAATAAAAAGTTGTCTATAGATTTTGAAGATAAAATTCAAAAATCTACTATATTTAGTTAGTCACAAAAAACTAGGTTGTGGGAACATATTTGGTCAATAAAACACCCCTTCCAAGTGCTGACAAGAAAAAAAGTTAGGTACCACCTTTCTTCTCTGCAGATGGCCTGAGATGGGTTAATTTGAAAGAATGCTTCCAAACCTGAGGTGACCCCTGAGAACAGCATAATCCACTGCTGTCTCCCACATTCAGTTTCTCAGTTTGTGCTCTTTTCATTTTGCGGGGAGGGAAGCCAGTTCTTTAAACCAATCTTCAGCATGGTGGCAGAGCCAAGGATTGTGGACAGGTGGCACGGTGTCTGACTTTGTTCCAGCAGCCACTTGGGCTTTCTCTGGATCTTCTCTGCCCTAAGGATAGCACCACTATTGAAAACATATCTTTGTGACTTTCTCTATGCCAGGAACTCCCAACACAATTTCCTTGAAACTGATGAAATGAATAAAAATAAACCAAGAGGTGTGCTGTTTGTTTTGTTTTCCTCCTTTCTGCAGCCCTTCTTGATCATCTAATATGTTTAAATACATGGTCGGTCACCAAAAGGAGCATAAGGGGTATATTGATTTGTAGCAGATGTATTAATAGCCCAGCCCCTATTCCTTACCTGTAGCTGCTGGGAAGAAAACCATTCTTAACACTCTACAGGGTCTCATCTCCAGAATTTGCAGCTGTTTCTAGCTGAGGACTTTCTCTAGCAGCACGGGAGTTTGATACTGGGCATGAAGTGGGAAGAATAGGTGAGAGTAACTAAGAAGAATCTCCCTGGATTCAGTGATGTAATTCTGAGGCATGCTCCACATAGCTTCCTATAGAATTAAGCCCAGATATCTAACACAGGAACTTGCCTCTTAACACGTGTGGTACTGGTTTTTCTATCTTTCCTGTTTTATTTTGTTCTCTCTTCCTTGTCTCACTTTCACTGTGCCCTCACTCCTGCTTTAAGAATACCCAAACAAATACATTCATTTATTTTTTTAGAGTCTCAGAACACAGTTGATAGTTGAACTTGTAATCTATGATAATCAGCTTGGATTCCATACTGACAGGAAGATAGTGAACTCACAATGTCTAATTAAGTTAAACTTAAAAAGTATATTGATTCGTGTCCAAAGATTTAGAAAACCTAAATGGCAGTGTCACAATTTCTTCTTTTAAGTTGACATGGTTTCTTAAATGTCTACAATTGTTTTAAAGGAAGCCTTGAATCTAGGAAAAATTGAGACATATGGAATAAATTACTAACCCATTTCTCCTTGAAATCCATTAGATGCTTGATGATTTTTCACATATATTTGTGAATTGAAAAGCTAGTTGCGAATTATTTTTATAAGCATATCCTTATGTAATATTTTGTTTTTAACAGTGAATTGAAGGTTTAAAGATTAAATTATTCTATCCAGAGAATAAAAAGCAATTATTTCACAAGGAGAACGTGTGTACGTTGACACGACATTATAAGTCTAGATTTTAAAATAGGTCCCATATAATTTTGTGTCAATTAGAATATGTTTGTATCAGTCTGTCTACAGTTTTACACCTGTCTAAATGTACTTGAACTACAACGACTACCTTGTACAATTTTGAAATTTATGATTCCTCTGAAACTGATTAAAGAATTATGGTAGAGTGAAATTCTGATTGACATAATTTGGGAGAGAAATTATTCCTTGGACATCAACCTCTGCCAAGATAGTTTATAATGACATTGAGGCTTTTTGATTTACACAATTTGTTATATAAAAAATACTAAGACGATGACAGATAATACACAGACTTTAATTAAAATTGTACTACAATTAAAAGTCTAAATAAATTAGTAGTGTACATGGTACATCTAAATGTATGTTTATATATTTTATTTGTACATTTTTTTCCTAGGGTTGCTTTTGCTTTAGTTTGTAAAACGTTCTTATTTTTATGATAATGCAGCATATACTAAATAAAGAAAAATCAGGAAATAGAAAATGAAGAAGAAAACATTAGCTATTGTCAACCAAATAAAAATTGTGCAATCTCTAAGCACATGAACTATGTAATATTTGTACAGCATAGTACAATGTTTATGCTTCACAGGGTGAGGTAGAGACTGCAAAACCTTGAACTTGGGACAAATAAGAAAGTAAGGAAATTTTCACAACTTATTAATATTATAGAAAATGCTGAACTTAGCAGTTAAGATACAAGTAGTGAAAAATGATTGTATTTAAGGAGATCTAGAAAATTTAATCTATACCTGTAATGTGTGAGAAGTATTAGAATAATGCTTGTATTTCTGGATTGGCATCGATTTCTATTGTGACTGGAAACATAATACAAGTGAGCAAAAAAGAATTTAAATGGTGGATACTTGAGTTTTATACCTAGGAGTTCAAGAAATACATTTTGTTCCTATCAAAGCAGTTGGCACAAGAGTGTACAAAATTCCCTAATTGTGTCTATGTGGTGAAGACATAGACAAACAGAGAATAGCAAAACAGAAATAGCAAAAAAGCACAAATAAATTTTAGCTGTATTTTTAAGTAAAAGACAATTAGAGAAGGAAAACATGAAATTTGTGTTTTATCAATTATTTTCTCTTTCTCATAATATAGTTGAATATATTACTGGAAAAAATTTGAAGCACTGGTATGTTCTCAAATAAAAGTAAAATGTAAGATCAAAACCATGGGAATGCAGGGAGCAGACAAAATATAACTAAACAGCGAAACTGATTTTGCCCTACGGACATGCAGCAAAATGAATGAGTGCAGATTCCTACTGTCATACATCACATAGGACAGTAAAGAAATGCATAGTGTTTCCCAAGATAGGGCATCACACAGGAGCTCCTCCCTAAAGCTAGGACCAACATTTCTATCCTCAGTATAAAGAAGAATCAGAGGTAAATTAGTCCCATTTCACATTCCCTGGAAATGGCACATAAAAATGACTTGAGATTGGACAGATTTAAAGAAACTCAATCGTTAATGATTTACAGCAACTAATTTAAAAAGTGTTTAAATGTGCAGTCCAAACATACGTCCGAACAGCTTTAGGCCAAGAATTAACATAGTGTGGTCCCAGAATGGTGGTGCCTTTAGTAGAATCACAAAAAAATTCAAATTCTCTTTGGCAAATTTTCTATTTACTAATCGGCAAAAGCGCACAAAAATAATTTTCAGAGAAAAATAAATATTTGTCATTCAAAGGCATCTAAATATGCAAGGAAATGATATTCCACCATTTGAAAGGAAAGCAGAAAAAGAGTACAAACAGATCCACAAAGGTTCATTAGTAGAAATATCATTGTTAGATTATAAAGCACATTTGCTTTCAAAATTTTTTTTAAAAATTGAATATATTGTTAGGAGACTAAAAAATTGATGTAGCAAATTTGAAAAGTAGTTTGCATAAAAATATAGTTATTTTAAATTAAAATCTCAAAAATGTACTCATCAGATTAGACATGGCCAAGGTGAGAGTTCATAAATATTTCAGAATGCATTACAGAAAATTTTAAAACATGTAAAATGTGGAGAGAATCATGAAGAGTTATGGAAGATACAGTGATAAAGTGTAGCATGTGTTTAGAGAGTGTTCTCGTAGAAGAATGGAACTGGGAAGGGACAATATGTGATTTTATTTTGGCTGAAATTTCCCTAGACATTTGTAAGACACTAATCTGCATATTCAAAAATTCCATGGTTGCTAAGCAAGCTACAATGGAGATAAACCTACACCTATGTATCTGCTAGAGAAATAGTAAACAACGAGGAAGGTAAAAATATTTCAATTAGCACTAGAAAAATGAAATTACTTTTAATCATATTGAAATCTGAAAAAAATGAAATGTAAAATAAACAATATTATTTGTTAAGAATAATAATGCCATTCTGAATTTTTAAACTAATAAAAATATTCATCAACCTATGGCTAAATAACATATTTATAGATAAAAAACAAAACGCCACCAGCAGAATTCCACTAAAGAAACTACAGAGAAACTCTGAAAATATGCTTCAGAAAGATTGAAGTTCTGAAATCAAAGAATGAACAGAGAGTAAAATATATTGCAAACTTACAGATAGAACAAATAAGAAACTGGGTTTTGAAACAAAAATATATTTAAAATTAGATAAGCACTGCAATATGTATGATAAAAAGAAAATTATTAGGGCTGAAGTATTCAAAGAACCCTTAATTGTCTGACAAGAGCAGAAAAGTGAGTATGACTTTGCAACTCTTTTTCTTTTTCGAATGGAATGGAATGGAATGGAATGGAATGGAATGGAATGGAATGGAATGGAATGGAATCGAATGGAATTGAATGGAGAGGAATGGAATGGAATGGGAGATGAGTTTGTCCCATTGTGCTACAGGAAGGGTGACAGAGTGAGACACTCTTGAAAGAAAGCAATGGAATGGAAAGCAGTGGAATAGAATGGAATGGAATGCAATGGAGTGGAATGGAGTGCAGAAGAGAGGAGTGGAATGGAGTGGAATGGAATCGGATGAAATGGAATGTCATGCAATGGAATGGAATGGAATGGAATCATCATCGAATGGAATAGAATGGAATTATCATGGAATGGAATCAAAAGGAATCATCATTGAATGGAATCGAACGGAGTCATCATCGAATGGAATCGAAAGGCATCATCATGCAATGGACTTGAATGGAATCATAAACGGATGGACTCGAAAAGAATCATCATCGAATAGAATTAAATGGTATCATCATTGAATGGAAGCGAATGGAATCATCATCAAATGGAATAGAATGGAATCATCAAATGGAATCAAATGGAATCATCATCAAATGTAATCAAATGGAATCATCGAATGGAATCGAATGGAATCATCTAATGGACCCGAATGGAATCATCATCAAATTGAATAGAATTGAATCATCATCGAATGGAATCGAATGAAATCATGTAATAGACACGAATAATATCATCATCGAATGGAATCGAATGGAACCATCTAATGTACCCAAATGGAATCATCATTGAATGGAATGGAATGGAATCATCAAATGGAATCAAATGGAATCTTCATCACATGGAATCGAGTGCAATCATCGAATGGACTCGAATGTAATAATCGGAGAATGGAATCGAATGGAATCATCGAATGGACTCGAATGGAATCATCATCGAATGGAATCAGATGGAATCATCCAATGGACCCAAATGGAATCATCATCGATTGGAATCGAATGGAATCATCGAGTGGACTCGAATGGAATCATCATCGAATGGAATGGAATGGTATCATCAAATGGATTAGAATGGAATCATCATAGAATGAAATGAAATGGAATCATTTAATGGCATCAAATGGAATCATCATCGAATGGAATCGAAGGGAATGATGTAATGGACTTGAATGGAATTGTCATTGAATGGAATCAAATGTAAACATCGAATGGACATAAATGGAATCATCATTGAATGGATTCGAATGGATTCATCATCAAATGTAATCGAATAGAATCATCATCAAATGGAATCGAATGGAATCATCGACTCGAATAGAATGGATTCATCTTCGAATGGAATCAAACAGAATCATCAAATGCAACAGATGGAATCATCATTGAATGGAAACGATTGGAATCATCATCGAATGGAATTGAATAGAATCATTATCGAATGGAATGGAATGGAATCATCGAGTGGACACCAATGGAACCATCATCAAATGGAATCGAATGGAATCTTCGAATGGAACCAAATGGAATCATCATTGAGTGCAATCAAATGGAATCATCATCAAATGGAATCGAACGGAATCATTTTCGAGTTGAATCGAATAGAATCATCGAATGAAATGGAATGGAATCATCATTGAATGGAATAGAAGGAAATCATCATCAAATGGAATCAAAAGGAATCATCATCAAATGGAACCGAAGAGAATCATCAACGAATGAAATCGAAAGGAATCATCACTGAAAGGAATCGAATGGAATCATCAACGAATGGAAACAAATGGAATCATTGAATGGAATAAAATGTAATCATCATCGAATTGAATCCAAGAGAATCATTCAATAGACTCGAATGGAATCATCGATTCGACTCAAATGGAATAACCATCAAATGGAATAGAATGGAATCATCGAATGGAATGAATGGAATCATCATCAAATGAAATCAAACGGAATCATCGAATGGACTCGAATGGAATCATCATAGAATGGAATCGAATGGAATCATCATCAAATGGAATCGAACAGAATCATCATCAAATGGAATCAAATGGAGTCATCGAATAGAATAGAAGGGAATCATCATCGAATGGAATCAAATAGAATCATTGAATGAAATCACATGGAATCATCATCAAATGGAATCAAATGGAATCATCATCGAATGGAATTGAATGGAATCATCTTTGAGTGGAATCGAATGGAATTGTCAACAAATGTAATCGAAAGGAATCATCAAATGGAACCAAATGGAATCATCATCGAATGGAACCGAATGAATCATCATCAAATGGAAGCAAACGGAGTCATCATCGAATGGAATTGGATGGAATCATAATCGAGTCGAATCAAATGGAATCATCATTGAATGGAATCGAATGGAATCACCGAATTGAATAGAATGGAATGATAATCGAATGGAATCAAAGAGAATCATCGAATGGGATCAAATGGAATCATCGAAGTGAGTCAAAAGGAATCATCAAATGGATTCGAATGGAATATTCAATGAATGGAATTGAATAGAATCATCGAATGGACTCAAATGGAATCATCATCAAGTGGAATCGAATGGAATCACTGAATTGAATCAAATGGAATGATCATCGAATGGAATCGAAGGGAATCATCGAATGGGATTGAACAGAGTCATTGAATGGAATCGAGGGGAATCATCAAATGGATTCGAATGGAATCATCTTCAAATGGAATCAAGTGGAATCATCGAAGGGATTCGAATGGAATCATCATCCAATGGAAACTAATGGAATCAACATCGAATGGAATCGAATGGAAACACCATCGAATTGAAACGAATGGAATTATCATGAAATTGAAATGGATGGACTCATCATCGAATGGATTCGAATGGAATCATCGAATGAAATTGATGGAAATCATCATCAAATGGAATCGAATGGAATCATTGAATGGAATCGAATGGAATCATCATCAGATGGAAATGAATGGAATCATCATAGAATGGAATCGAATGGATTCATTGAATGGAATCAGATGGAATCATCGAATGGACTTGAATGGAATCATTGAATGGACTCGAATGGAATCATTATTGAATGGAATTGAATGGAATCATCGAATGGTCTCGAATGGAATCATTATCAAATGGAATCGAATGGAATCACCGAATAGAATCGAATGGAACAATCATCGAATGGACTCAAATGGAATTATCCTCAAATGGAATCGAATGGAATTATCGAATGCAATCGAATGGAATAATCGAATGCAATCGAATAGAATCATCGAATGGACTTGAAAGGAATCATCGATTGAAATGGAATGTTTTAGTCAATGAACTCGAATGGAATCATCATTGAATGGAATCATCGAGTGGAATCGAATGGAATCATGATCAAATGGAATCGAAAGTAATCATCAAATGGAATCAAAAATTACCATCATCAATTGGTATTGAATGGAATAGTCATCAAACGGAATTCAAAGGAATCATCATCAAATGGGACCGAATGGAATCCTCACTGAATGGAAATGAAAGGAGTCATCATCTAATGGAATCGCATGGAATCATCATCAAATGGAATCGAATGGAATCATCATCAAATGGAATCTAATGGAATCATTGAACGGAATTGAATGGAATCGTCATCGAATGAATTGAATGCAATCAACGAATGGTCTCGAATGGAACCATCTCCAAATGGAAAGGAATGGAATCATCGCATAGAATCGAATGGAATTATCATCGAATGGACTCGAATGGAATCAACATCAAACGGAATCAAACGGAATTATCGAATGGAATCGAAGAGAATCATCGAACGGACTCGAATGGAATCATCTAATGGAATGGAATGGAAGAATCCATGGACTCGAATGCAATCATCATCGAATGGAATCGAATGGAATCATCGAATGGACTCGAATGGAATAATCATTGAACGGAATCAAATGGAATCATCATCGGATGGAAACGAATGGAATCATCATCGAATGGAATCGAATGGGATCATCAAATGGAATCAGATGGAATCATCATCAAATGGAATCGAATAGAATTATGGAATGAAATCCAATGTGATCATCATTGAATGGACTCGAATGGAATCATCATCCAATGTAAACTAATGGAATCAACATCGAATGGAATCGAATGGAAACACCATCGAATTGAAACGAATGGAATTATCATGAAATTGAAATGGATGGACTCATCATCGAATGGATTCGAATGGAATCATCGAATGAAATTGATTGAAATCATCATCAAATGGAATCGAAAGGAATCATTGAATGGAATCGAATGGAATCATCATCAGATGGAAATGAATGGAATCATCATAGAATGGAATCGAATGGATTCATTGAATGGAATCAGATGGAATCATCGAATGGACTTGAATGGAATCGTTGAATGGACTCGAATGGAATCATTATTGAATGGAATTGAATAGAATCATCGAATGGTCTGGAATGGAATCATTATCAAATGAAGTCGAATGGAATCACCGAATAGAATCGAATGGAACAATCATCGAATGGACTCAAATGGAATTATCCTCAAATGGAATCAAATGGATTTATCGAATGCAATCGAATGGAATTATCGAATGCAATCGAATAGAATCATCGAATGGACTCGAATGGAATCATCGAATGGAATGCCATGGATTAATCCATGGACTCGAATTCAATCACCATCGAATACAATCGAATGAGGTCATCGAATCGACTCAAATGGAATAATCATTGAATGGAATCGAATGGAATCATCGAGTGGAATCGAATGGAATCATGATCAAATGGAATCGAATGTAATCATCATCAAATGGAATCAAAAATAAACATCATCAATTGGTATTGAATGGAATTGTCATCAAATGGAATTCAAAGGAATCATCATCAAATGGAACCGAATGGAATCCTCACTGAATGGAAATGAAAGGAGTCATCATCTAATGGAATCGCATGAAATCCTCATCAAATGGAATCGCATGGAATCATCATCAAATGGAACCTAATGGAATCATTGAACGGAATTGAATGGAATCGTCATCGAATGAATTGAATGCAATCAACGAATGGTCTCGAATGGAACCACCTCCAAATGGAATGGAATGGAATCATCGCATAGAATCGAATGGAATTACCATCGAATGGACTCGAATGGAATCAACATCAAACGGAATCAAACGGAATTATCGAATGGAATCGAAGAGAATCATCGAATGGACTCGAATGGAATCATCTAATGGAATGGAATGGAAGAATCCATGGACTCGAATGCAATCATCATCGAATGGAATCGAATGGAATCATCGAATGGACTCGAATGGAATAATCATTGAACGGAATCGAATGGAATCATCATCGGATGGAAACGAATGGAATCATCAAATGGAATCAGATGGAATCATCATCAAATGGAATCGAATAGAATTATGGAATGAAATCCATTGTGATCATCATCGAATGGACTCGAATGGAATCATCATGCATTGGAAACTAATGGAATCAACATCGAATGGAATCGAATGGAAACACCATCGAATTGAAATGAATGGAATTATCATGACATTGAAATGGATGGACTCATCATCGAATGGATTCGAATGGAATCATCGAATGAAATTGATTGAAATCATCATCAAATGGAATCGAATGGAATCATCGAATGGAATGCAATGGATTAATCCATGGACTCGAATTCAATCACCATCGAATACAATCGAATGGAGTCATCGAATCAACTAAAATGGAATAAACATTGAATGGAATCGAATGGAATCATCGAGTGGAATCGAATGGAATCATGATCAAATGGAATCAAATGTAATCATCATCAAATGGAATCTAAAATAACCATCATCAATTGGTATTGAAGGGAATTGTCATCAAATGGAATTCAAAGGAATCATCATCAAATGGAACCGAATGGAATCCTCATTGAATGGAAATGAAAGGAGTCATCATCTAATGGAATCGCATGGAATCATCATCAAATGGAATCGAATGGAATCATCATCAAATGGAATCTAATGGAATCTTTGAACTGAATTGAATGGAATCGTCATCGAATGAATTGAATGCAATCAACGAATGGTCTCGAATGGAACCACCTCCAAATGGAATGGAATGGAATCATCGCATAGAATCGAATGGAATTATCATCGAATGGACTCGAATGGAATCAACATCAAACGGAATCAAACGGAATTATCGAATGGAATCGAAGAGAATCATCGACTGGACTCGAATGGAATCATCTAATGGAATGGAATGGAAGAATCCATGGACTCGAATGCAATCATCATCGAATGGAATCGAATGGAATCATCGAATGGACTCGAATGGAATAATCATTGAACAGAATCGAATGGAATCATCATCGGATGGAAACGAATGGAATCATCAAATGGAATCAGATGGAATCATCATCAAATGGAATCGAATAGAATTATGGAATGAAATCCATTGTGATCATCATCGAATGGACTCGAATGGAATCATCATCCAATGGAAACTAATGGAATCAACATCGAATGGAATCGAATGGAAACACCATCGAATTGAAACGAATGGAATTATCATGAAATTGAAATGGATGGACTCATCATCGAATGGATTCGAATGGAATCATCGAATGAAATTGATGGAAATCATCATCAAATGGAATCGAATGGAATCATTGAATGGAATCGAATGGAATCATCATCAGATGGAAATGAATGGAATCATCATAGAATGGAATCGAATGGATTCATTGAATGGAATCAGATGGAATCATCGAATGGACTTGAATGGAATCATTGAATGGACTCGAATGGAATCATTATTGAATGGAATTGAATGGAATCATCGAATGGTCTCGAATGGAATCATTATCAAATGGAATCGAATGGAATCACCGAATAGAATCGAATGGAACAATCATCGAATGGACTCAAATGGAATTATCCTCAAATGGAATCGAATGGAATTATCGAATGCAATCGAATGGAATAATCGAATGCAATCGAATAGAATCATCGAATGGACTTGAAAGGAATCATCGATTGAAATGGAATGTTTTAGTCAATGAACTCGAATGGAATCATCATTGAATGGAATCATCGAGTGGAATCGAATGGAATCATGATCAAATGGAATCGAAAGTAATCATCAAATGGAATCAAAAATTACCATCATCAATTGGTATTGAATGGAATAGTCATCAAACGGAATTCAAAGGAATCATCATCAAATGGGACCGAATGGAATCCTCACTGAATGGAAATGAAAGGAGTCATCATCTAATGGAATCGCATGGAATCATCATCAAATGGAATCGAATGGAATCATCATCAAATGGAATCTAATGGAATCATTGAACGGAATTGAATGGAATCGTCATCGAATGAATTGAATGCAATCAACGAATGGTCTCGAATGGAACCATCTCCAAATGGAAAGGAATGGAATCATCGCATAGAATCGAATGGAATTATCATCGAATGGACTCGAATGGAATCAACATCAAACGGAATCAAACGGAATTATCGAATGGAATCGAAGAGAATCATCGAACGGACTCGAATGGAATCATCTAATGGAATGGAATGGAAGAATCCATGGACTCGAATGCAATCATCATCGAATGGAATCGAATGGAATCATCGAATGGACTCGAATGGAATAATCATTGAACGGAATCAAATGGAATCATCATCGGATGGAAACGAATGGAATCATCATCGAATGGAATCGAATGGGATCATCAAATGGAATCAGATGGAATCATCATCAAATGGAATCGAATAGAATTATGGAATGAAATCCAATGTGATCATCATTGAATGGACTCGAATGGAATCATCATCCAATGTAAACTAATGGAATCAACATCGAATGGAATCGAATGGAAACACCATCGAATTGAAACGAATGGAATTATCATGAAATTGAAATGGATGGACTCATCATCGAATGGATTCGAATGGAATCATCGAATGAAATTGATTGAAATCATCATCAAATGGAATCGAAAGGAATCATTGAATGGAATCGAATGGAATCATCATCAGATGGAAATGAATGGAATCATCATAGAATGGAATCGAATGGATTCATTGAATGGAATCAGATGGAATCATCGAATGGACTTGAATGGAATCGTTGAATGGACTCGAATGGAATCATTATTGAATGGAATTGAATAGAATCATCGAATGGTCTGGAATGGAATCATTATCAAATGAAGTCGAATGGAATCACCGAATAGAATCGAATGGAACAATCATCGAATGGACTCAAATGGAATTATCCTCAAATGGAATCAAATGGATTTATCGAATGCAATCGAATGGAATTATCGAATGCAATCGAATAGAATCATCGAATGGACTCGAATGGAATCATCGAATGGAATGCCATGGATTAATCCATGGACTCGAATTCAATCACCATCGAATACAATCGAATGAGGTCATCGAATCGACTCAAATGGAATAATCATTGAATGGAATCGAATGGAATCATCGAGTGGAATCGAATGGAATCATGATCAAATGGAATCGAATGTAATCATCATCAAATGGAATCAAAAATAAACATCATCAATTGGTATTGAATGGAATTGTCATCAAATGGAATTCAAAGGAATCATCATCAAATGGAACCGAATGGAATCCTCACTGAATGGAAATGAAAGGAGTCATCATCTAATGGAATCGCATGAAATCCTCATCAAATGGAATCGCATGGAATCATCATCAAATGGAACCTAATGGAATCATTGAACGGAATTGAATGGAATCGTCATCGAATGAATTGAATGCAATCAACGAATGGTCTCGAATGGAACCACCTCCAAATGGAATGGAATGGAATCATCGCATAGAATCGAATGGAATTACCATCGAATGGACTCGAATGGAATCAACATCAAACGGAATCAAACGGAATTATCGAATGGAATCGAAGAGAATCATCGAATGGACTCGAATGGAATCATCTAATGGAATGGAATGGAAGAATCCATGGACTCGAATGCAATCATCATCGAATGGAATCGAATGGAATCATCGAATGGACTCGAATGGAATAATCATTGAACGGAATCGAATGGAATCATCATCGGATGGAAACGAATGGAATCATCAAATGGAATCAGATGGAATCATCATCAAATGGAATCGAATAGAATTATGGAATGAAATCCATTGTGATCATCATCGAATGGACTCGAATGGAATCATCATGCATTGGAAACTAATGGAATCAACATCGAATGGAATCGAATGGAAACACCATCGAATTGAAATGAATGGAATTATCATGACATTGAAATGGATGGACTCATCATCGAATGGATTCGAATGGAATCATCGAATGAAATTGATTGAAATCATCATCAAATGGAATCGAATGGAATCATTGAATGGAATCGAATGGAATCATCATCAGATGGAAATGAATGGAATCATCATAGAATGGAATCGAATGGATTCATTGAATGGAATCAGATGGAATCATCGAATGGACTTGAATGGAATCATTGAATGGACTCGAATGGAATCATTATTGAATGGAATTGAATGGAATCATCGAATGGTCTCGAATGGAATCATTATCAAATGGAATCGAATGGAATCACCGAATAGAATCGAATGGAACAATCATCGAATGGACTCAAATGGAATTATTCTCAAATGGAATTGAATGGAATTATCGAATGCAATCGAATGGAATAATCGAATGCAATCGAATAGAATCATCGAATGGACTTGAAAGGAATCATCGATTGAAATGGAATGGAATAGTCAATGAACTCGAATGGAATCATCATTGAATGGAATCATCGAGTGGAATCGAATGGAATCATGATCAAATTGAATTGAAAGTAATCATCATCAAATGGAATCAAAAATAAACATCATCAATTGGTATTGAATTGAATTGTCATCAAACGGAATTCAAAGGAATCATCATCAAATGGAACCGAATGGAATCCTCATTGAATGGAAATGAAAGGAGTCATCATCTAATGGAATCGCATGGAATCCTCATCAAATGGAATCGCATGGAATCATCATCAAATGGAACCTAATGGAATCATTGAATGGAATTGAATGGAATCGTCATCGAATGAATTGAATGCAATCAACGAATGGTCTCGAATGGAACCACCTCCAAATGGAATGGAATGGAATCATCGCATAGAATCGAATGGAATTACCATCGAATGAACTCGAATGGAATCAACATCAAACGGAATCAAACGGAATTATCGAATGGAATCGAAGGGAATCATCGAATGGACTCGAATGGAATCATCTAATGGAATGGAATGGAAGAATCCATGGACTCGAATGCAATCATCATCGAATGGAATCGAATGGAATCATCGAATGGACTCGAATGGAATAATCATTGAACGGAATCGAATGGAATCATCATCGGATGGAAACGAATGGAATCATCAAATGGAATCAGATGGAATCATCATCAAATGGAATCGAATAGAATTATGGAATGAAATCCATTGTGATCATCATCGAATGGACTCGAATGGAATCATCATGCAATGGAAACTAATGGAATCAACATCGAATGGAATCGAATGGAAACACCATCGAATTGTAACGAATGGAATTATCATGAAATTGAAATGGATGGACTCATCATCGAATGGATTCGAATGGAATCATCGAATGAAATTGATTGAAATCATCATCATATGGAATTGAATGGAATCCTCATTGAATGGAAATGAAATGAGTTATCATCTAATGGAATCGCATGGAATCTTCATCAAATGGAATCGAATGGAATCATCATCAAATGGAATCTAATGGAATCATTGAACGGAATTGAATGGAATCGTCATCGAATGAATTGAATGCAATCAACGAATGGTCTCGAATGGAACCACCTCCAAATGGAATGGAATGGAATCATCACATAGAATCGAATGGAATTATAATCGAATGGACTCGAATGGAATCAACATCAAACGGAATCAAACGGAATTATCGAATGGAATCGAAGAGAATCATCGAATGGATTCGAATGGAATCATCTAATGGAATGGAATGAAAGAATCCATGGTCTCGAATGCAATCATCATCGAATGGAATCGAATGGAATCATTGAATGGACTCGAATGGAATAATCATTGAATGGAATCGAATGGAATCATCATCGGATGGAAACGAATGGAATCATCAAATGGAATCAGATGGAATCATCATCAAATGGAATCGAATAGAATTATGGAATGAAATCCATTGTGATCATCATCGAATGGACTCGAATGGAATCATCCAATGGAAACTAATGGAATCAACATCGAATGTAATCGAATGGAAACTCCATCGAATTGAAACGAACGGAATTATCATGAAATTGAAATGGATGTACTCATCATCGAATGGATTCGAATGGAATCATCGAATGAAATTGATTGAAATCATCATCAAATGGAATCGAATGGAATCATTGAATGGAATCGAATGGAATCATCATCAGATGGAAATGAATGGAATCATCATAGAATGGAATCGAGTGGATTCATTGAATGGAATCAGATGGAATCATCGAATGGACTTGAATGGAATCATTGAATGGACACGATTGGAATCATTATTGAATGGAATTGAATGGAATCATCGAATGGTCTCGAATGGAATCATTATCAAATGGAATCGAATGGAATCACCGAATAGAATCGAATGGAACAATCATCGAATGGACTCAAATGGAATTATCCTCAAATGGAATCGAATGGAATTATCGAATGCAATCGCATGGAATAATCGAACGCAATCGAATAGAATCATCGAATGGACTTGAAAGGAATCATCGATTGAAATGGAATGGAATAGTCAATGAACTCGAATGGAATCATCATTGAATGGAATCATCGAGTGGAATCGAATGGAATCATGATCAAATGGAATCGAAAGTAATCATCAACAAATGGAATCAAAAATAACCATCATCAATTGGTATTGAATGGAATTGTCATCAAACGGAATTCAAAGGAATCATCATCAAATGGAACCGAATGGAATCCTCATTGAATGGAAATGAAAGGAGTCATCATCTAATGGAATCGCATGGAATCATCATCAAATGGAATCGAATGGAATCATCATCAAATGGAATCTAATGGAATCATTGAACGGAATTGAATGGAATCGTCATCGAATGAATTGAATGCAATCAACGAATGGTCTCGAAAGGAACCACATCCAAATGGAATGGAATGGAATCATCGCATAGAATCGAATGGAATTATCATCGAATGGACTCGAATGGAATCAACATCAAACGGAATCAAACGGAATTATCGAATGGAATCGAAGAGAATCATCGAACGGACTCGAATGGAATCATCTAATGGAATGGAATGGAAGAATCCATGGACTCGAATGCAATCATCATCGAATGGAATCGAATGGAATCATCGAATGGACTCGAATGGAATAATCATTGAACAGAATCGAATGGAATCATCATCGGATGGAAACGAATGGAATCATCATCGAATGGAATCGAATGGGATCATCAAATGGAATCAGATGGAATCGTCATCAAATGGAATCGAATAGAATTATGGAATGAAATCCAATGTGATCATCATTGAATGGACTCGAATGGAATCATCATCCAATGGAAACTAATGGAATCAACATCGAATGGAATCGAATGGAAACACCATCGAATTGAAACGAATGGAATTATCATGAAATTGAAATGGATGGACTCATCATCGAATGGATTCGAATGGAATCATCGAATGAACTTGATTGAAATCATCATCAAATGGAATCGAAAGGAATCATTGAATGGAATCGAATGGAATCATCATCAGATGGAAATGAATGGAATCATCATAGAATGGAATCGCATGGATTCATTGAATGGAATCAGATGGAATCATCGAATGGACTTGAATGGAATCGTTGAATGGACTCGAATGGAATCATTATTGAATGGAATTGAATAGAATCATCGAATGGTCTCGAATGGAATCATTATCAAATGAAGTCGAATGGAATCACCGAATAGAATCGAATGGAACAATCATCGAATGGACTCAAATGGAATTATCTTCAAATGGAATCAAATGGATTTATCGAATGCAATCGAATGGAATTATCGAATGCAATCGAATAGAATCATCGAATGGACTCGAATGGAATCATCGAATGGAATGCAATGGATTAATCCATGGACTCGAATTCAATCACCATCGAATACAATCGAATGGAGTCATCGAATCGACTCAAATGGAATAATCATTGAATGGAATCGAATGGAATCATCGAGTAGAATCGAATGAAATCATGATCAAATGGAATCGAATGTAATCATCATCAAATGGATTCAAAAATAAACATCATCAATAGGTATTGAATGGAATTGTCATCAAACGGAATTCAAAGGAATCATCATCAAATGGAACCGAATGGAATCCTCATTGAATGGAAATGAAAGGAGTCATCATCTAATGGAATCGCATGGAATCATCATCAAATGGAATCGAATGGAATCATCATCAAATGGAATCTAATGGAATCATTGAACGGAATTGAATGGAATCGTCATCGAATGAATTGAATGCAATCAACGAATGGTCTCGAATGGAACCACCTCCAAATGGAATGGAATGGAATCATCGCATAGAATCGAATGGAATTATCATCGAATGGACTCGAATGGAATCAACATCAAACGGAATC
This sequence comes from Homo sapiens, assembly GCF_000001405.40. NCBI lineage: Eukaryota > Metazoa > Chordata > Mammalia > Primates > Hominidae > Homo > Homo sapiens. Next base: position 6,694 of record NT_187364.1, on the reverse strand, counting down.
AAACGGAATTATCGAATGGAATCGAAGAGAATCATCGAACGGACTCGAATGGAATCATCTAATGGAATGGAATGGAAGAATCCATGGACTCGAATGCAATCATCATCGAATGGAATCGAATGGAATCATCGAATGGACTCGAATGGAATAATCATTGAACGGAATCGAATGAATCATCATCGGATGGAAACGAATGGAATCATCAAAGAATGGAATCGAACGGGATCATCAAATGGAAACAGATGGAATCATCATCAAATGGAATCGAATAGAATTATGGAATGAAATCCAATGTGATCATCATTGAATGGACTCGAATGGAATCATCATCCAATGGAAACTAATGGAATCAACATCGAATGGAATCGAATGGAAACACCATCGAAATGAAACGAATGGAATTATGATAAAATTGAAATGGATGGACTCACCATCGAATGGATTCGAATGGAATCATCGAATGAAATTGATTGAAATCATCATCAAATGGAATCGAAAGGAATCATTGAATGGAATCGAATGGAATCATCATCAGATGGAAATGAATGGAATCATCATAGAATGGAATCGTACGGATTCATTGAATGGAATCAGATGGAATCATCGAATGGGCTTGAATGGAATCGTTGAATGGACTCGAATGGAATCATTATTGAATGGAATTGAATAAAATCATCGAATGGTCTCGAATGGAATCATTATCAAATGAAGTCGAATGGAATCACCGAATAGAATCGAATGGAACAATCATCGAATGGACTCAAATGGAATTATCCTCAAATGGAATCAAATGGATTTATCGAAAGCAATCGAATGGAATTATCGAATGCAATCGAATAGAATCATCGAATGGACTCGAATGGAATCATCGAATGGAATGCAATGGATTAATCCATGGACTCGAATTCAATCACCATCGAATACAATCGAATGGAGTCATCGAATCAACTCAAATGGAATAATCATTGAATGGAATCGAATGGAATCATCGAGTGGAATCGAATGGAATCATGATCAAATGGAATCGAATGTAATCATCATCAAATGGAATCAAAAATAAACATCATCAATTGGTATTGAATGGAATTGTCATCAAATGGAATTCAAAGGAATCATCATCAAATGGAACCGAATGGAATCCTCATTGAATGGAAATGAAAGGAGTCATCATCTAATGGAATCGCATGGAATCATCATCAAATGGAATCGAATGGAATCATCATCAAATGGAATCTAATGGAATCTTTGAACGGAATTGAATGGAATCGTCATCGAATGAATTGAATGCAATCAACGAATGGTCTCGAATGGAACCACCTCCAAATGGAATGGAATGGAATCATCGCATAGAATCGAATGGAATTATAATCGAATGGACTCGAATGGAATCAACATCAAACGGAATCAAACGGAATTATCGAATGGAATCGAAGAGAATCATCGAATGGACTGGAATGGAATCATCTAATGGAATGGAATGGAAGAATCCATGGTCTCGAATGCAATCATCATCGAATGGAATCGAATGGAATCATTGAATGGACTCGAATAGAATAATCATTCAATGGAATCGAATGGAATCATCATCGGATGGAAACGAATGGAATCATCAAATGGAATCAGATTTCATCATCATCAAATGGAATCGAATAGAATTATGGAATGAAATCCATTGTGATCATCATCGAATGGACTCGAATGGAATCATCATCCAATGGAAACTAATGGAATCAACATCGAATGGAATCGAATGGAAACTCCATCGAATTGAAACGAATGGAATTATCATGAAATTGAAATGGATGGACTCATCATCGAATGGATTCGAATGGAATCATCGAATGAAATTGATTGAAATCATCATCAAATGGAATCGAATGGAATCATTGAATGGAATCGAATGGAATCATCATCAGATGGAAATGAATGGAATCATCATAGAATGGAATCGAGTGGATTCATTGAATGGAATCAGATGGAATCATCGAATGGACTTGAATGGAATCATTGAATGGACTCGAATGGAATCATTATTGAATGGAATTGAATGGAATCATCGAATGGTCTCGAATGGAATCATTATCAAATGGAATCGAATGGAATCACCGAATAGAATCGAATGGAACAATCATCGAATGGACTCAAATGGAATTATCCTCCAATGGAATCGAATGGAATTATCGAATGCAATCGAATGGAATAATCGAATGCAATCGAATAGAATCATCGAACGGACTTGAAAGGAATCATCGATTGAAATGGAATGGAATAGTCAATGAAGTCGAATGGAATCATCATTGAATGGAATCATCGAGTGGAATCGAATGGAATCATGATCAAATGGAATCGAAAGTAATCATCATCAAATGGAATCAAAAATAACCATCATCAATTGGTATTGAATGGAATTGTCATCAAACGGAATTCAAAGGAATCATCATCAAATGGAACCGAATGGAATCCTCATTGAATGGAAATGAAAGGGGTCATCATCTAATGGAATCGCATGGAATCATCATCAAATGGAATCGAATGGAATCATAATCAAATGGAATCTAATGGAATCATTGAACGGAATTGAATGGAATCGTCATCGAATGAATTGAATGCAATCAACGAATGGTCTCGAATGGAACCACATCCAAATGGAATGGAATGGAATCATCGCATAGAATCGAATGGAATTATCATCGAATGGACCCGAATGGAATCAACATCAAACGGAATCAAATGGAATTATCGAATGGAATCGAAGAGAATCATCGAACGGACTCGAATGGAATCATCTAATGGAATGGAATGGAAGAATCCATGGACTCGAATGCAATCATCATCGAATGGAATCGAATGGAATCATCGAATGGACTCGAATGGAATAATCATTGAACGGAATCGAATGGAATCATCATCGGATGGAAACGAATGGAATCATCATCGAATGGAATCGAATGGGATCATCAAATGGAATCAGATGGAATCATCATCAAATGGAATCGAATAGAATTATGGAATGAAATCCAATGTGATCATCATTGAATGGACTCGAATGGAATCATCATCCAATGGAAACTAATGGAATCAACATCGAATGGAATCGAATGGAAACACCATCGAATTGAAACGAATGGAATTATCGTGAAATTGAAATGGATGGACTCATCATCGAATGGATTCGAATGGAATCATCGAATGAAATTGATTGAAATCATCATCAAATGGAATCGAAAGGAATCATTGAATGGAATCGAATGGAATCATCATCAGAAGGAAATGAATGGAATCATCATAGAATGGAATCGCATGGATTCATTGAATGGAATCAGATGGAATCATCGAATGGACTTGAATGGAATCGTTGAATGGACTCGAATGGAATCATTATTGAATGGAATTGAATAGAATCATCGAATGGTCTCGAATGGAATCATTATCAAATGAAGTCGAATGGAATCACCGAATAGAATCGAATGGAACAATCATCAAATGGACTCTAATGGAATTCTCTTCAAATGGAATCAAATGGATTTATCGAATGCAATCGAATGGAATTATCGAATGCAATCGAATAGAATCATCGAATGGACTCCAATGGAATCATCGAATGGAATGCAATGGATTAATCCATGGACTCGAATTCAATCACCATCGAATACAATCGAATGGAGTCATCGAATCGACTCAAATGGAATAATCATTGAAAGGAATCGAATGGAAACATGATCAAATGGAATCGAATGTAATCATCATCAAATGGAATCAAAAATAAACATCATCAATAGGTATTGAATGGAATTGTCATTAAACGGAATTCAAAGGAATCATCATCAAATGGAACCGAATGGAATCCTCATTGAATGGAAATGAAAGGAGTCATCATCTAATGGAATCGCATGGAATCATCATCAAATGGAATCGAATGGAATCATCATCAAATGGAATCTAATGGAATCATTGAACGGAATTGAATGGAATCGTCATCGAATGAATTCAATGCTATCAACGAATGGTCTCGAATGGAACCACCTCCAAATGGAATGGAATGGAATCATCGCATAGAATCGAATGGAATTATCATCGAATGGACTCGAATGGAATCAACATCAAACGGAATCAAACGGAATTATCGAATGGAATCGAAGAGAATCATCGAACGGACTCGAATGGAATGATCTAATGCAATGGAATGGAAGAATCCATGGACTCGAATGCAATCATCATCGAATGGAATCGAATGGAATCATCGAATGGACTCGAATGGAATAATCATTGAACGGAATCTAATGAATCATCATCGGATGGAAACGAATGGAATCATCATCAAATGGAATCGAATGGGATCATCAAATGGAATCAGATGGAATCATCATCAAATGGAATCGAATAGAATTATGGAATGAAATCCAATGTGATCATCATTGAATGGACTCGAATGGAATCATTATCTAATGGAAACTAATGGAATCAACATCGAATGGAATCGAATGGAAACACCATCGAATTGAAACGAATGGAATTATCTTGAAATTGAAATGGATGGACTCATCATCGAATGGATTCGAATGGAATCATCGAATGAAATTGATTGAAATCATCATCAAATGGAATCCAAAGGAATCATTGAATGGAATCGAATGGAATCATCATCAGATGGAAATGAATGGAATCATCATAGAATGGAATCGCATAGATTCATTGAATGGAATCAGATGGAATCATCGAATGGACTGGAATGGAATCATTATTGAATGGAATTGAATAGAATCATCGAATGGTCTCGAATGGAATCATTATCAAATGAAGTCGAATGGAATCACCGAATAGAATCGAATGGAACAATCATCGAATGGACTCAAATGGAATTATCCTCAAATGGAATCAAATGGATTTATCGAAAGCAATCGAATGGAATTATCGAATGCCATCGAATAGAATCATCGAATGGACTCGAATGGAATCATCGAATGGAATGCAATGGATTAATCCATGGACTCGAATTCAATCACCATCGAATACAATCGAATGGAGTCATCGAATCGACTCAAATGGAATAATCATTGAATGGAATCGAATGGAATCATCGAGTGGAATCGAATGGAAACATGATCAAATGGAATCGAATGTAATCATCATCAAATGGAATCAAAAATAAACATCTTCAATTGGTATTGAATAGAATTGTCATCAAATGGAATTCAAAGGAATCATCATCAAACGGAACCGAATGGAATCCTCATTGAATGGAAATGAAAGGAGTCATCATCTAATGGAATCGCATGGAATCATCATCAAATGGAATCCGATGGAATCATCATCAAATGGAATCTAATGGAATCATTGAACGGAATTGAATGGAATCGTCATCGAATGAATTGAATGCAATCAACGAATGGTCTCGAATGGAACCACCTCCAAATGGAATGGAATGGAATCATCGCATAGAATCGAATGGAATTATAATCGAATGGACTCGAATGGAATCAACATCAAACGGAATCAAACGGAATTATCGAATGGAATCGAAGAGAATCATCGAATGGACTGGAATGGAATCATCTAATGGAATGGAATGGAAGAATCCATGGTCTCGAATGCAATCATCTTCGAATGGAATCGAATGGAATCATTGAATGGACACGAATGGAATAATCATTGAATGGAATCGAATGGAATCATCATCGGATGGAAACGAATGGAATCATCAAATGGAATCAGATGGAATCATCATCAAATGGAATCGAATAGAATTATGGAATGAAATCCATTGTGATCATCATCGAATGGACTCGAATGGAATCATCATCCAATGGAAACTAATGGAATCAACATCGAATGGAATCGAATGGAAACTCCATCGAATTGAAACGAATGGAATTATCATGAAATTGAAATGGATGGACTCATCATCGAATGGATTCGAATGGAATCATCGAATGAAATTGATTGAAATCATCATCAAATGGAATCGAATGGAATCATTGAATGGAATCGAATGGAATCATCATCAGATGGAAATGAATGGAATCATCATAGAATGGAATCGAGTGGATTCATTGAATGGAATCAGATGGAATCATCGAATGGACTTGAATGGAATCATTGAATGGACTCGAATGGAATCATTATTGAATGGAATTGAATGGAATCATCGAATGGTCTCGAATGGAATCATTATTAAATGGAATCGAATGGAATCACCGAATAGAATCGAATGGAATAATCATCGAATGGACTCAAATGGAATTATCCTCAAATTGAATCGAATGGAATTATCGAATGCAATCGAATGGAATAATCGAATGCAATCGAATAGAATCATCGAATGGACTTTAAAGGAATCATCGATTGAAATGGAATGGAATAGTCAATGAACTCGAATGGAATCATCATTGAATGGAATCATCGAGTGGAATCAAATGGAATCATGATCAAATGGAATCGAAAGTAATCATCATCAAATGGAATCAAAAATAACCATCATCAATTGGTATTGAATGGAATTGTCATCAAACGGAATTCAAAGGAATCATCATCAAATGGAACCGAATGGAATCCTCATTGAATGGAAATGAAAGGAGTCATCATCTAATGGAATCGCATGGAATCATCATCAAATGGAATCGAATGGAATCATCATCAAATGGAATCTAATGGAATCATTGAACGGAATTGAATGGAATCGTCATCGAATGAATTC